>NC_000011.10:32484242-32635757 GCF_000001405.40 Homo sapiens
TTCTAATAGAACTGTTTGGTCTCAACCAGGGAGGATGAGCAAATGTTCATGTGCATCAGCATACATGCACAAGAGTGTTCCCAGCAGGCTTACTAGTAAATCCCCAAGCTAGAAATAATTTAAATGTCCATCAACAGTACATGGACAAATAAAAAAATACGGTCCTGAAATGAATCTAAATTGCAATTACATGCAAGGTGGATGGTTCTCACAAACGCAAGGTTGAGCAAAAGAAGCCAGACACAGGTGAACAATTCATTCCTCCCATTTATATAAATCTCAAAGCCAGATTCTATCTAGATGCAAACTTTGGTGCTAAATTATTGTTTTCAGAAGCAAAAATGTGATTCTCGTAAAAGCCACGATAATGGTTATCTCCAGGAGCATGGGAGAAGCTTTGAGGGAGGGTTAGCAATATTATACTTCTTGATATGGGGGTTAACTTTATAACAACTTGTTAAACTGCATTTTTGTGTATGAGGGTTATATCTCACAATCAAATGAGTTTAAAATTTCCCCCCAAGGTCTCCTTCTGTCAATTCCTGAAGAAAGCAAAAGCGCAGGGAAGCCCACAGACTGCTGACCCTCAGGCAGCCTCTGCCCAAAGAGGCCTGTGCATTCCTTCTTCCTCCCCAAGAGTGAACACTTAAAACCCTTTTCTGTGTTGCCTTTCCCTCCAGAACAAATGTCTTCATTTTAGTACGGTGATTAGATTTACAATATAACCAATTTAACAGTTGAAAGTGTTTTGTATTTTTAGTAAAGACAGCGTTTCACCATGTTGGCCAAGGTGGTTTCGAACTCCTGACCTCAAGTGATCTGTCCGCCTTGGCCTCCTAAAGTGCTGGGATTACAGGTGTGAGCCACTGCACCTGGCCCAAACTGTGTTCTAATAGGATTGTTGGTCTCAACCAGGGAGGCTGAACAAATGTTCATTTCTAGCACATCTGACTTAGAGAGCCCAGTATTGTGCTGGGCAGTGGGGCACACAGGGAACCAAACCCACTTTCTGCCCTTCAGGAGTTCTGATGGGAAATAGACTTATAAATATCTATATTTGAAAATGGTAAGTTCATTTTGTGAAAGTATTATAGAAGCAGAATAACCATAGTTTGGGGTGTTGAGGGTTTGTTAGACGCTAACCAGGGGAAAGAGTGCAGACAGGACTTTCCAGGTGGAGGAAACACTGGCAGAAGTAAGGAGAGGTGAGGAAACGCTGCTCCTTGGCTGCCTGGGTTTGTCTCAGCTCCGCATCTTCTCTTTGTGTTTGGCTTTCTCCCAAGGAGGAACACTGAGGCACCAAGAGAGACCCTCAGAAACTCCAGGTTCAAGCCTCCTATTCTTCTTTTCCACATTGATGGGGAAGGTATCCACGTGTTTTGAAGCCAGAAAAAAATAGTACTTTACAATAAAGGGAGAAAAGGTTTAGAAGGGTTAGAAAATGGAAAATTGGGGCACAGAGCCAGTGATAAGTCAGTTTTATATTGCACATAGCGATTGCTCCTGGAGTCATCACAGGAGTGTTTATAATCAGGATAAATCAACGCTTTGGATGAATTCCTGTGATTCTTCTGTTTCTGGAAAGCCAGATTACCTCTGTCTTCTGAAGATCTGCAAGAGATTTGTCCTCACATGGAAGAGACCTGAGAGTAGGGCTGATATGCAAAATATTTAACCACTGTACCGTGCATACCTGACCAATCAGAAACCACACAGTCTGGAGACACTGGAGACGGCCAGCCCAAGTGTGTACAGGCTGAATCCCAAACCTGTCTTTGAGACCATCATATTCAACCCTCTGTTTTGCAGAAGAGATCCCAAGTTTCCTGGGATCACCATCTAGCCCTCTCCACTGCAACCCGTAGCCTCAAAGTCCATGTAAGAGAAGTGCAGGACCTGATTAGGTCTACCCCAGACTTGATTCACATCCAAGGCTGCCTGTGGAGAGGATGTCTTATTCTTTAATTGTTTATTTAAAAAAAATTTTTTAGAGACAAGGTCTCACTTTGTCACCCAGGCTGTAGTGCAGTGGTGTAATCATAGCTCACTATAACCTCGAACTCTTGGGCTCAAGCGAGCCTCCTGCCTCAGACTCCTGAGTAGCTGGGACTACAGCTGGGGGCTATGGTTCTCAGCTAATTTTTTCTTTTTCTTTTTGTAGAGACAGGGTCTCACTATGTTACCCAGCCTGGTCTCGAACTCTTGGCTTCCAGTGATCCTCCCTCCTTGGCTTCCCAAAGTATTGGGACTACAGGTGTGAGCCACTGCTCCCAGCCAGTGTCTTACTCTTCACATGTCACTGGATTCTTTGCTGCTCATAAATTAGTGCGTAAAATCCTTTTTAAGTGTTAAATAAGCCTGCCATTTGTCTGCAAGACTGGGTTATAGAACATATTATGAAGGATGCAAGGGAATAGTCAGTTTAAAACAAAAGGCTCAGGCCGGATGTGGTGGTTCACACCTGTAATCCCAGCACTTTGGGAGGCCGATGCAGGTAGATCATGAGGTCAGGAGTTCAAGACCAGCCTCACCAACATGGTGAAACCCCGTCCCTACTAAAAATACAAAAAAATTATCCTGGTTTGGTGGCGTGCACCTGTAATCCCAGCTATTCAGGAGGCTGAGGCAGGAGAATCACTTGAACCCGCGAGGCGGAGGTTGCAGTGAGCCGAGACTGTGCCACTACACTCCAGCCTGGGCAACAGAGCAAAACTCCATCTCAAAAAAAAAAAAAGGCTCTCAGGTGCGCAAGGAAAGCCATTTTAAAATTTTTATTTTTAGAGACAGGGTCTCATTCTGTCACACAGGCTGGAGTGCAGTGGCACAATCTTAGCTCATTGCACACTCCAACTCTGAAATGTCATTATTATATATTCCACAAATCAACCTAAGTCTGACTCTAAGTCCTCATCCTGCCAGGCTCTTGAGAAAGTTAACCGTCTACCTCCCTTCTCTCCAGTCCACAGGCTAGTGCAGAAGTCCAGAGGTTTTATATAACATAAAGCCCTGCTTTGCCATCGTCATTCATTTAGCTAACAAATGTATTGAATTCTTACCACATGTCAGGCCCTGCTCTAGGAGCTGATTATTAGCGATGTACAAAAAGAGGTGAAATCTGTGCCTCTCCTCCAGGCTGAGCAGGCACTTTTGTACCTCGCCTAGGGCCAGGGAAGGACTCTTTGGGGAGGCTGGCCTTAGGCCTCTGTGGGAGCACATGCAGCCTCTCCCCACTAGGTGCTGTCCATCCAGCCACTGTTCAGAAGCAGGCAGCAGATCCCATCTAGAGGAATCTGCACTCTTCCCTGACCAGGTTTCGCTTCTCCTAAACTCATCTCCTCAAAACCATCCTCCCTTGGCCCTCCCTCTGCAGAACACCCCTTGTGGTGCTCCAACATGGAAAACTATTTTTTTTATGATAGTAAATGCTATGTCTATTTCTTGTTGTAACACATATATCAGAATACTCAGAACAAAATTGTTTGATATTGTATTCAAAATTTTAAATTGTGGTAAAATATACACAACATAAAATGTACCCCCTGAACACTGTTGGGTGTTCAGTGGCATTAAATATCAAGGGCAAAATTTTTTTTTTTGAGTCAGAATCTCACTCTGTCACCCAGGCTAGAGTGTGGTGGTGGGATCTCAACTCACTGCAGCCTCCATCTCCTAGGTTCAAGCAATTCTCATGCCTCAGCCTCCTGAGTAGCTGGGAGCACAGGTGCGCACCACCACACCCAGCTAATTTTTTTATATTTTTAGTAGAAATGGGGTTTCATCATGTTGGCCAGGCTGGTCTCAATCTCCTGACCTCATGATGCACCCTCCTTGGCCTCCAAAAGTGCTGGGATTACAGGCGTGAGCCACCGCACCCGGCTCTCTGTCTCTCTCTCCCTTTTTTTTTTCTTTCTTTTTTTTTTTTTTAAGAGACAGGCTCTCACCATCTTGGTCAGGCTGGTCTTGAACTCCTGGGCTCAAGCGATCCACCCATCTTTGCCTCCCAAAGTGTTGGGATTACAGGCATGAGCCACCTTTCCTGGCCCCAGCCTGTTTTGCAGGAAGACGTGACAAAGCCTGGATGTCTGTCTGAAATGAAGAGAAAGAAAATTTAATATTTCAGTCAACCATCCGCCACATAAACATCCTAGCTATCCAAACAAGTAAAAGTATAGAATTTTTTTTTTTTTTTTTTTTTTTGAGACACCGTCTCGCTCTGTCACCCAGGCTGGAGTGCAGTGGCGCAATCTCGGCTCACTGCAAACTCCACCTCTAGGGTTCATGCCATTCTCCTGCCTCAGCCTCCCGAGTAGCTAGGACTACAGGCGCCCGCCACCATGCCCGACTAACTTTTTGTATTTTTAGTAGAGATGGCGTTTCACCGTGTTAGCCAGGATGGTCTCGATCTCCTGACCTCGTGATCCACCCGCCTTGGCCTCCCAAAGTGCTGGGATTACAGGCGTGAGCCACTGCGCCCAGCCAAAGTGCAGAACTGTTTATTCCAAATTCCCACTCCACACATTTAGTAAAGACATAATTGTGTGCACGTTCTATGGCTGGGCCTCAGGAGACCCTTGAAGGCTTCAGTAGTTGATCTGGTCCCTGACCACCTTCTGTTCAGAGTCCGGTTCCCTTTTCCTCATCTCCTGAACAGCCTCAAGCTCCAACACACCCAAGCCTGATGCCTATGCTGGGTACCACCTCAGCCAGATAAAGAAGATGCTCCCTGACAAGCCTATATTGGGTAAGGCATCGTCAATCAGGGTCTAAGGATTATTTGGGAGTTTCTATACTGTAACTGGAGTCACTGGGACTAAAAAGCCTCCAAGACATAGGGGAATGGATCTGTAAGGATGACATTTCATTTATTGTGACAGGATAAGACTTTTGGATAGAAGGGTAGTTTTGTGTTTCACTGTCTTATCCTGTGATGAAGTCCTGAGATTTTCTTTCTTTCTTTCTTTCTTTTTTTTTTTTTTGAGAGCGAGCCTTGCTCTCTCACCCAGGCTGGAGTGCACTGGCGCGATCTTGGCTCACTGAAACCTCTGCCTCCTGGGTTCAAGCAATTCTCCTGCCTCAGCCTCCCAAGTAGCCGGGACTACAGGCGTGCATCACCACACCCGGCTAATTTTTGTATGTTTAGTAGAGACGGGTTTCACCATATTGGCCAGGCTGGTCTCAAACACCTGGCCTCAAGTGATCCACCCCTCTCAGCCTCCCAAAGTGCTGGGATTACAGGCGTGAGCCACTATGCCCGGCCTTCTGTGATTTTCATATGTTCATCCTGCATTTTAAAATTTTCTTTCCTTTTTTGCTTTTTGAGACAGGGTCTCTTTCTGTTGCCCAGGCGAGAGTGCAGTGGCTGATCATGGCTCAGTGCAACCTGAAACTCCTGGGCTCAAGTGATCCTGCTGCCTCAGCCTTAACCTCCCTAGTGGCTAGGACTACAAGTGCATGCCATCACACCCAGCTAATTTCTTTTCCTTTTTTTTTTTTTTTTTTTTTTTTTAAGAGACAGGGTTCTTGCTTTCTTGTCCAGGCTGGTCTTGAACTCCTGACCTCAGCCTCCCAAAGTGCTAGGATTCCAGGTTTGAACCACCGCACCCAGTTGATTTATCCTGCAATTAAAAAAAAAGTGACTTTGTAGCTCCCTCTGCAATCTTATCTTCCGTAAATGGTGTAAACAGTTACTGCTGTGCAAGGACTCTGATTTCTGACTTCTTCCATGAGTTCTGTTTTCATATATCCAACTCGTTGCTGGATACTTCCATCAGGATATACAGTCAGCTCTCTGTATCCCTGGGATCTGCATTTGTGGATTCAACCAACTGCAGATCAAAGATATTTGGAAAAAAAACAATAAAAAGCTATGACAATTTAAAATAATACAAGTTTTTAAAAATGCAATGTAACAATTATTTATATAGCATTTACATTGTATTAGGTATTGTAAGTAATATAGAGATGATTTAAGGTATATGGGAGGATGTGCCTAGGTTATATGCAAATAAGATACCATTTTATACAAGGAACTTTGATATATAAAGGATTTAGATATCTGCTGTGGGTCCTGGAATAAATCCCCTATGGATACCAAAGGACAACTGTACTCATAGAATCTCAAATTCAATGTATATACAACCAAAGATATCATCTTTTTCCTCACACCAAGTACTCTTTCTGATATTTCTGTTAATGGCACCATTCTCCATTGCCTTCATGTTTACAACCTTCATATGATCCCTGGGTCTTTCCTTTCCCTTGATTCCAATATCTGGATAATTGGAACATTCTACCGACTCGACCTCCATAAGACCTCTCAATCCATTCCTTCCTTTTAATCTCTACTATTAGTCATATGGTTCTGGCCCTCCTGAGCTCCTGCCTGGAAAGTAGCCTCCAAGTTGATTTATTCACATTGGTGCCTGGTCTTCCCACTATAGTCTAAATCAGTCTTCCTAAGTACATTTTCAATTATGTTACTAAATAGTAGGCTGCTTGAAGGCATGGACTGCATTTTATTCATTTTTTTAGTATACTTTGAGTTCTAGGGAACATGTGCACAACGTGAAGGTTTGTTACATATGTATACATGTGCCATGTTGGTGTGCTGCACCCATTAACTTGTCATTTACATTAGGTATATCTCCTAATGCTATCCCTCCCCACTCCCCCCACCCCACAACAGGCCCCGGTGTGTGATGTTCCCCTTCCTGTGTCCAAGTGTTCTCATTGTTCAGTTCCCACCTATGAGTGACAACATGTGGTGTTTGGTTTTTTGTCCTTGCAATAGTTTGCTGAGAATGATGGTTTCCAGCTTCATCCATGTCCCTACAAAGGACATGAACTCATCCTTTTTTATGGCTGCATAGTATTGCATGGTATATATATGCCACATTTTCTTAATCCATTCTCTCATTGATGGACACTTGGGTTGGTTCCAAGTCTTTGCTATTGTGAATAGTGTCACAATAACCATACGTGTGCATGTGTCTTTATAGCAGCATGATTTATAATCCTTTGGGTATATACCCAGTAATGGGATGACTGGGTCAAATGGTATTTCCAGTTCTACATCCTTGAGGAATCGCCACACTGTCTTCCACAATAGTTGAACTAGTTTACAGTCCCACCAACAGTGTAAAAGTGTTCCTATTTCTCCACATCCCCTCCAGCACCTGTTGTTTTCTGACTTTTTAATGATCACCATTCTAACTGATGTGAGATAGTATCTCCTTGTGGTTTTGATTTGCATTTCTCTGATGGCCAGTGATGATGAGCATTTTTTCATGTGTCTTTTGGCTGCATAAATGTCTTCTTTTGAGAAGTGTCTGTTCATATCCTTCGCCCACATGTTGATGGGGTTGTTTGTTTTTTCCTTGTAAATTTGTTTGTGTTCTTTGTAGATTCTCGATATTAGCCCTTTGTCAGATGAGTAGATTGCAAAAATGTTTTCCCATTCTGTAGGTTGCCTGTTCACTCTGATGGTAGTTTCTTTTGCTGTGCAGAAGCTCTTTAGTTTAATTAGATCCCATTTGTCAATTTTGACTTCTGTTGCCATTGCTTTTGGTGTTTTAGACATGAAGTCCTTGCCCATGCCTATGTCCTGAATGGTATTGCCTAGGTTTTCTTCTAGGGTTTTTATGGTTTTAGCTCTAACATTTAAGTCTTTAATCCATCTTGAATTAATTTTTGAATAAGGTGTAAGGAAGAGATCCAGTTTCAGCTTTCTACATATGGCTAGCCAGTTTTCCCAGCACCATTTATTAAACAGGGAATCCTTTCCCCATTTCTTGTTTTTGTCAGGTTTGTCAAAGATCAGATAGTTGTAGATGTGTGGTATTATTTCTGAGGGCTCTGTTCTGTTCCATTGGTCCATATCTCTGTTTTGGTACCAGTACCATGCTGTTTTGGTTACTGTAGCGTTGTAGTATAGTTTGAAGTCAGGTAGCGTGATGCCTCCACCTTTGTTCTTTTGGCTTAGGATTGACTTGGCAATGCAGGCTCTTTTTTGGTTCCATATGAACTTTAAAGTAGTTTTTTCCAATTCTGTGAAGAAAGTCGTTGGTAGCTTGATGAGGATGGCATTGAATCTATAAATTACCTTGGGCAGTATGGCCATTTTCACGATATTGATTCTTCCTATCCATGAGCATGGAATGTTCTTCCATTGTTTGTGTCCTCTTTTATTTCATTGAGCAGTGGTTTGTAGTTCTCCTTGAAGAGGTCCTTCACATCCCTTGTAAGTTGGATTCCTAGGTATTTTATTCTCTTTGAAGCAATTGTGAATGGGAGTTCACTCATGATTTGGCTCTCTGTTTGTTTGTTATTGGTGTATAAGAATGCTTGTGATTTTTGCACATTGATTTTGTATCCTGAGACTTTGCTGAAGTTGCTTATCAGCTTAAGGAGATTTTGGGCTGAGACGATGGGGTTTTCTAGATATACAATCATGTCATCTGCAAACAGGGACAATTTGACTTCTCTTTTCCTAATTGAATACCCTTCATTTTTATATCCCTAATGCCTAACATAGTACCTGGTACATGGTAGATATTCAGTAAAGGCTGGATTGAATTTATGTTACCTTCCGGCTGAAAAATGTTCAATGGCCTTGTATTCACTACTGAATGAAGTTTCCCCCTGGCATTTAGAGCCCTCCATGGTACAGTTGCCATTTAACTTTCTGTTCTTTTTTGCCATTAAAACTGTATTTGCAGAGCAAAACAGAACGACTTTCTTTTCTGCAAACATTCTTTCCTACCTCACTATCTTTGCTGGTACTTTTCTTCCTTTTTGGAAGGCACAAGTATTAAAATTCTAGTAATTCTTTTTTTGTTATTTTTTTTGAGACGGAGTTTCACTCTTGTTGTCTAGGCTGGAGTGCAATGGGGTGATCTCAGCTCACTAGAAAAAACCACCTCTCAGGTTCAAGTGATTCTCCTGCCTCAGCCTCCTGAGTAGCTGGGATTACGATGCCCGCCACCATGCCCAGCTAATTTTTGTATTTTTAGTAGAGACAGGGTTTCATCGTGTTGGCCAGGCTTATCTTGAACTCTTGAGCTCAGGTGATCCACCCGGCTCGGCCTCCCAAAGTGTTGGGATTTCTTTGGGAGTAACCAATACTGTAGAAGCCAATGACTTAGTTGAAAGTGCCCAAGGCTGGGTGTCAACACCTTGGATTCTGGCTCTGTTACAAGCTAACCACATAGTTAGTTTTAAGTCATTTATTCTCAGGTTCCTTATTTGTGATATCAGCAGCAGGCAGCCCCTTTTGACTCTGAAATTCTATGAATTAAAGGGCCTTGCCTCTTACATTCAGGCATTCAGTGATTTCACATATATTAAATTCCTACTATATGGCAGTGTGCAAAAGGCTGGGCATATAGTGGTAAGCAAGCTTGCCATAGTTACTGCTTCATGGAGCTGCCAGTTGAGAATAATTTTCTACAGCCCACGATCAGAACACCGTTTTGATTTCCAGCATCAAATTTCTTCTGGTTAAAAATTGGTAATTTGCCATCGCATTCATTATGTGTTTCAAGTTGTGAAATGAACCTTTAAAATCTAAACATATGGTCTATCTAGGCTTATGATTCTGTTTCACCAAAGAGTTCCACTGTAAGAATAAAAAATTTAATGTGCTCACTTAGGTGCATCTAGTTTTTAAATTTCATCTTTAACTTTATTTGTAAAGATTCAGTCCTCTACAATTTAAAAAGCAAATTCTAATGATAGGGCATCAACTGAGAGCTATTATGGGCAGGCTCGGTTCTAAGCATTTTGCATGTAATATTACCTCATTTAATCCTCAGAATAACCACAAGAGCCAAGTGATAATACCATTTCCATTTTGTAGAAGTTAAATAACTTGCCCAAAGTCACACAGCTGGTGAAGCTGGGCTTTGACCACAGGCATTATATCTCCCGAGTCTGTGCGCTAAGCTCCAATATTAAACTACTACTATTGTTAATAATTAATTAAATGTTGTTCAGTAGATTTTCTGCTGGAAATGTAAGGGTTAACAACTCTGAAGAGCTGAACAATCATATGGGATTTTTAAATGTCTCTAACTCCAGCCAGGTAGTGTACAAAGGAGGTAATGAAAAATTAAAAGCTTTTTTTTTGGCTGAGAACTAATCTTCAAGGTTATGGATATATCTATATGCCAGAGAATATTGCACTTTAGATAATAAGTAACTATAAAATTCGTGGTACTGTTTTAAACCCGACAGCTCCATATGTCTGATGTGTTTTCTGAAAGTATTTCAAAGATAAGACTTTACTCTCAAATCTGAAATAGGTTATTTAAAGATTTCCAACACTGTACAGTATTTATGTAATTGGATCAAATATATGGGGGAAAACTATAGTACTAAGAGTAGAAGAGTATTTTAATCATAAAAATATCTTCCTGTCAAAGAGAAACAAAATATAGTCAAGGAAATGCAAACCACACCATGTCAGTGAGAATTCTTGGCATTTCATTTTAGAAGCCATTTTGCATGGAAATGAATAAAATATAAACACAGTACTTTATCTTGGATATGACAAGAAACTTCAAGATTGTAATGTGCATTAAGATAACATTCCAAACCTATCCTTTCAAGTTTTCAGCCAAGAATTTGTTTTTATAATTTCTTTGCAGTTGGCAAACAGCTAACCTCCACTTGAGATATCAATTTTCATGCTTATGATCCCAATCCCATTGTGTGTAACTATTAACTTGCTGTGTGACCTTGACTAAATCACTCCCCTCCACCCCAACTCAAATGAAGAGGTTAGATCTCTCAGTCTCCTTCCAGTCTTAAAATTCTGTGATTCTAGTCTCTAGATTATGACATACGCCATAAAAAATACTATGGAGATTGAATTTTTAAAACTTGGGCTATTTAAACATTTTGTAAATGACCAAGCATCAGCTATGAAGAGAATATAAACTGTGGCATCCAGGGTCTGCCGGTGATTTACTTGTCTTTGGTGTTGGTTAGCAGCTGCTGTGCCTATTTCAAGTCATCAAGCACTTTTTCTTTTCTTTTTTTTTTTTTTTTTTTTTGAGACAGAGTCTTGCTCTGCTGCCAGGCTGGAGTGCAGTGGCGCAATCTCGGCTCACTACAACCTCCACCTCCCGGGTTCAAGAGATTCTCCTGCCTCAGCCTCCCAAGTAGCTGGGATTAGAAGCACGCGCCACCATGCCCAGCTAATTTTTGTATTTTTAGTAGAGACGGGGTTTCACCATGTTGGTCAGGATGGTCTCCATCTCCTGACCTCATGATCCGCCCGCCTTGGCCTCCCAAACTGGTGGGATTACAGGCGTAAGTCATGCACTTTCTGTAGTTTACAGAAACAGTAGTCCATCCACGTGCTTCTTAGACTGCCTGACATAGTGGGGTCTGAGAGATTCAGGACAAAAAGAGCAGTGATCACACCCCCCATGGTCCGTGAGCTTACTTTAAACACCTTCCTCCTAAGCTGCAGGGGGATATGGACCCTGTGATACACTGCTCACATTCCCCTGTGAGACTGATGCGCTGTTCCTGCAGCTGCTAGGAGCCTTGGCAATTAAGAGCCTCGCTGGAGCTAGCCCTTGGTTGAAAGGAGCTGCTTTGCCCAAAGCCACATACCCTTCTGGGGCAGCCTGCATCCAAGGACTGAAGATTCAGTGGAAGGGTTGGTTAACCATTGGCCTCTTGTCCCAATGGGTCCAACTCTGAAGGGTCACGCCCGTGCCAGAGCTCCTGCAAGGTAGGCCGAGGCCTTCATTGCTGCTGCTCCTACCACATTGCAGCTCAGCGTTTCCCTCCGGCCACAGGTGTTGCCCGGAGCACTCCCCACTAAACTCCCTGCACAGAGATCCCTGTCTCACAGTCTGCTTCTTGGGGATCCGGACCTGCCACAGAGACATACGGACCTGAGTTCCAGATTAACCTCTGCTTATTTCTAGCTGTGGGGCTTGAAGTAAATTCCTCCTTCAACAAAATGGGAATAACAATAACTACCTCATAGAATTTCTTATTATAAGGAAATCACTCCAAAGCACATAGTAGATGATTCATAACAATAAGTTAACATGTGTCAAGGCATACTTCACATTTATTATGTGTCATGCACTGTTTTAAGTACTTTACTACACAAGAAGTAAAGAAGTGTGAAGAAGATAATATCCCTATTGTGCAGATGAGAAACAAGTACAGAGAAGTTAAGTAGCTTCCCCAAGGTCACACAGCCAATCAGATGTAGTCAAGAATTCAAACCCAGGCAGCCAGACTGCAGAGTCAGTGTTCATAGTTAAAACTCTGCTGCATCTCATTGGTGAAGAAAAACTAAAAAAAAATTTGGATGATGATAAACAAAAGCCCAATAATGTCACCTTATTTCAGAAGTAGCTTTAAAACAAGGCAGGTATAAGGCTGGGTGTGGTAGCTCATGCCTGTAATCCTAGCACTTTGGGAGGCTGACGTGGGTGGATTGCCTGAGCTCAGGAGTTTGAGACCAGCGTGGGCAACATGGTGAAACCCTGTCTCTACTAAAATATAAAAAATTAACCAGGTGTGGTGGCATGCGCCTATAGTCTCAGCTACTCAGGAAGCTGAGGCAGAAGAATTGCTTGAACCCGGGAGGCAGAGGTTGCAGTGAGCCAAGACTGTGCCACTGCACTCCAGCTTGAGCAACAGAGCGAGACTCCATCTTCAAAAAAAAAAAAAAAAAAAGGCGGGTATAAAAGAAAAATTTCACAAAGAATTTCTATGTTCCCATAGTTGATATTTTTGTATTGCTATAGGTTATGCTAATTTTTTGCTACAAATCAACCCTTTTTCATCAAGAGGATGGGTGAGGGCCAGGCGCAGTGGCTCATGCCTGTAATCCTAGCACTTTGGGAGGCCGAGGCAGGCAGATCGCTTGAGGTCAGGAGTTCGAGAACAGTCTGACTAACATGGTGAAACCCTGTCTCTACTAAAAATACAAAAATTAGCCAGGAATGGTAGTGGGTGCCTGTAGTCCCAGCTACTTGGGAGGCTAAGGCAGGAGAATCGCCTGAACCTGGGGGCGGAGGTTGCAGTGAGCTGAGATCATGCCACTGCTCTCCAGCCTGGGCAACAAAGCGAGACTCAGTCTCAAAAAAACAAAAAAATGCTGAGTGAAATAGTGGAAGGTTGGGTCCCTAATCTCATGCTGTAGTGGTCAGTCATTCCGTAAGATCATTTGTTTCTGTTGTTTGTTTCTATTTTAATGAAACATATACTCAGTTTCTTTTTAAATGAAATGTACTGAATATGAGGTCAATACGCAAAACAATGATGTATTTCACTATTAGGTATTATGTTTGTGTACTAACAGGGTTTAAGTTACATTAGGTTGGTGCAAAAGTAATTGGGGTTTTTGCCATTACTTTCAATGGCAAAAAACACAATTACTTTTGCATCAAAACTTTCTACAGTTTTAAACTTCTTCCTCTGGGCCACAGGGTAGTACATGGTAATAGTAGGGTCCCTGCTGTGCTCCCCATTTCTCATTCACAACTTACCTTGTGCTCCCTTTAAACTGGTTGTCCGTCAGCAGCCGATAGAAGGTGTTCATTTCCCATTCCCCTTCTAGTCCAGTCAGGTTTATATCATAATTTTTCTTACAGAGAAAAAAAAGTGTTAACAATGCTGGTTTGGACCCCTGTTATACTTTTAAGGTCAGAGAGATCTCTTTTACTGCTTAAGGCACAAGTCTGTTAAGGTTTTTATGATTTGCAAATGAAGTGGTTTTTTATCTTTTGCTATTAGACAGCTAAGGTATAAGAGAGTGCCTTCTACACCAAATAAATTAATCACTTAAATAATTTACAGCTCCAGGTATGTTTGCCAGACTAGCATAACTGAATAAAGTCAACAGATTAAATGTTCCCTTGGCAATTGGCGAGGGTATGAGACACAGCACCTGGGCTGCACCACTGGGCCTCTCATTAAATCATAGGCAAGAGTTCAGAATGCTGAGGTCCCAGGTGACAGACAGGAGCTGATTTGAGAGGATAGAGCTTTCTTTCCCGTCTAGGTGTCATGGCAGTCATTACCCTTGATTCTAGGCAGTGGAAAACTCTCAGAAAAAGAGAGAGAGAGACAGGAGAGAGAGACAGGAAAGAGAGACAGAGTAGGGGTGAGCCTTTCTTTCTTTCTTTCTTTCTTTCTTTCTTTCTTTCTTTCTTTCTTTCTTTCTTTCTTTCTTTTGAGATAGGGTCTTGCTCTGTTGCTCAGGTTGCAGCTCACTGAGACTCTGCCTCCTGAGTTCAAGCAATTCTCGTGCCTCAGCCTCCTAAGTAGCTGGGATTACAGGCACGCATCATCACACCAGGCTCCTTTTTCTATTTTTAGTAGAGACAGAGTTTCACCATGTTGGCCAGGCTGGTGTCAAACTCCTGACCTCAGGTGATCTGCCCGCCTCAGCCTCCCAAAGTGCTGGGATTACAGGTGTGAGCCATTGCTCCCAGCCGCGAGTCTTCTTTTTTTTTGAGACGAATTCTTGCTCTGTTGCCCAGGCTGGAATGCAGTGGCGCAACCTCAGCTCACTGCAACCTCTGCCTCCCAGGTTCAAATGATTCTCCTGCCTCAGCCTCCCAAGTAGCTGGGATTACAGGCGCCCACAACCATGCCCAGCTAATTATTGTGTTTTTAGCAGGGACGGGGTTTCACCATGTTGGCCAGGCTGGTCTTGAACTCCTGACCTCTGGTGATCCAACCGCCTTGGCCTCCCAAAGTGCTGGGATTACAGGCATGAGCCACCACGCCTGGCTACGAGTCTTCTTTCAATGTGAAAATACTTTATTTATATCACTAAATTCAAAATTCATTAATGTAATAGTGTCTATTCGTACAATCTCAGAGTAAAAGTCAAACATAATTATGAAATATTTTGTATATGGAGTCACTATTTATCACTGTCATGATCAGAACAAGAACTAGGCAGAAAAATAGAGAATATTTCCCTCTCTCCAATTTCTAGGTTTTGACCAGAACCTGCTTGTGCCTAGGAAGAAAAGTGTAGTCTATAAAACTGATAGCAACAACAGAAAAACATCAGAGGGCAGGATCCAGGAACCTATGCATAATATCCAGTTTACTTCTTGGGAAGGTTTTAAGTGTCAGAAACCAGTCATTTGATCTGTAACAAATGGAATTCTTACATGAAAATATGGTTTTAAATTTGCCCATTTAATGATGGGAGGGTTCAGATGGCCAGTGAGAAGTTGGGGTGGGGAGACAGCAGATATATGTGTTTAGCTGGGGGAAATTCCACTTTTAGATCATATTCATTTCACCCAGTAGACACACAAGGCCCTCTCTTGAGGTCTCATAGGAAGCTAAGTGCTATAGGAACATATGAAAGGCAGAGCTGTGCTTATACTTCTTATCCATTGTTGGTACAGCTTCTCTGGAGATGAACGAGATAGGAAAAATAAAGGAAAAAGCCATTCCAGGTGTATTGGACACTGACACTTGTAGTGATTACTAGACCTGGTCCTCTGATTGTCCTTTTAGGAAGGGGTGAGAATTGGAGGGAGAGAAGGTAAGAGTGGTGGTGTTGATGATTTAGAGTACCTGATTCATAAAGCATCTGAATTTAAGGTAAAACCATTAAATTGGATTCGTTGCTGAATTATCACTGACCACACAAACCTTGTTATTTTCCCTTAAAAAGAAAAGGTGGAAGAGAAGCTTCCCATGCCTGGTTTATGAATATGGCCTTGAAAATGTCAACAGATGTATTGTCTTGTTGAGTCTGCAGCCAGGAAAGCAGAAATCAATGGCAGCAAAGCAGGTGTGAATGTCCCCCGACTTCAGAGGCAGTTCACTTTGAAGCTGGAAAATCAAGGACGCTGGTACCTTCAAGGAAACAAGAATATAATTATCACAACACCCAATTTGCCAGTGACCTTCCATTCCTCAGGCCTGCCCTACTCCCTTCGCTGGCACCAACCCAGGTCCTCACAGACTGAACTCTGTGTCCCAGGCTGCTCAGATGGAGGAGCAACCCACTCAAGCACCCTTTGAAATTATTCTTAATCTCTTTCTACTACACTGCTTTCACTGACATAAATCCGCCAGCCCAAGGGGCCTCAGACCCCTCCACGGAGGGAGGCCCATTCAGGCCAAGTGGAGTCAGAGCAGCTAAGCTGCAGAATTTATGCTTCCTCTCACCTGCGCCGTCTGTCTATGGCCTCAGCTCTGGTCTGTTTTTGAAGGTTTGAGCATAACCCTGCAGCTTCTTGCCAAGTTGGCCATCATCACCTCTGTCATAGAAGCAGATTTCGCAAGGCCATTGGAAGCTAATAACAGCGACTTTTAACTTCATTATTGTATTTGAAACGTTGAAAGCAGAAGCCTAATAAAAATGAGTTCAGGAAAAAAAGAAGAGCTATAAATTATTATTTGAAAGGAGTGGCTAAATAATTCATCTACTCAAAATACCTAGGGGCTATTTATCAGTTACAACAATAATCTAATATTTGGTTTCCTTTCCTTCACAGTGCAAAAAGCCCTTTCTCTTAGCACGTACTCTTTTCTGCTTCTACAATTCAAGTGTCCAGAGTCAAGAGATACATAACACTCCCTACCCAGTTCCTTCGCACACACATACACACATGTGCACATACATGCATGTGCACATACACGCGTGTGCACACACACAGCCTTGGTCTCAAGGGGTCCACTAAATGGTACTAATTATTTTAGACCACCAGGAACTTATCCCACATTGTCACCAATGAATACATGTTGCAGTTTAACATTTTATTTGTTTTAAAGTAACAGTAAAATTATATTTCCTTGATTTCACAAAGACTGCCTGTGCTAATCTGGTATATTTAATGGAAAAATGCCAGAAGCATTTATGCCCTGTAAAATAGAAAACAAACTGTGGATGGCCATATCACTATTATTATTATATAGGGTTTTGGAAAGTACAGATTAGGCTGGTCATGGTGGCTCATGCCTGTAATCCCAGCGCTTTTGGGAGGCTGAGGCGGGTGGATTACAAGGTCAGGAGTTTGAGACCAGCCCGGCCAATATGGTGAAACCCCGTCTCTACTAAAAATACAAAAAGCCGGGCGTGGTGGTGCGTGCCTGTAATCCCAGCTACTTGGGAGGCTGAGGCAGGAGAATCACTTGAATTGGGGAGGTGGAGTTTGCAGTGAGCCGAGATCGTGCCACTGCACTCCAGCCTGGGCGACACAAGACTCCGTCTCAAAAAAAAAGAAGAAGAAGAAGAAGAAAAGAAAAGTACAGATTAGTGGTTCCTAAATGGTGAAAATTCTGCTTCGCAGGGGACACTTGGCAACATCTGGAACGATTTTTGGTTGTCACAACTTTGGGGAGCAGGGTGCCACTGGCACTCTCAGTTAGAGGCCAGGAATGCTGCTAAACATCCTACAATACACAGAACAGCTCCCAGGACAAAGAATCATCCAGCCACCCTGTTCTACACAATGCAACAAAACATAAATATGAGAGATAAAGTTTAGAAAATAACTGACTTTCATTGTCATTAATTGCAAATCACATGCATCACCTAGAAAAAAATCGAAAACATTAAACATTATTAAAATCCACAAAAATAGTAAATAAGGTAGCTGGATAAAATGTTTTTGATTATGTGACAGACGATGAGTCTTGAATTTTCCTATGAGTTTATCTATCGTACGAAAATTTTCTGAGAATAAAAGGAATAATTTTACAAAAGAATACTTAGGAGGTTTTAAGATTACAGTTTTTATGAAGTTATAGGTTATAGTTAAACAAAAGTTATAATGCATTTCAAAACTATGAGAATAATTTAGAAATTTTAATGACCTAGAGCAAGGTTCCCCAAGCCCAGGGCTATGGATGGGTACCCATCTGTGGCCTATTAGGAGCCTGTCTACACAGCAGGAGGTGAGTGGTGAGCAGGCAAGCATTACTGCCTGAGATCCGCCTCCTTTCAGATCAGCTGCGGCAGGAGAACCTAAATTCTCATAGGAGCGCAAACCCTACTGTAAGCTGCACATGCGAGGGATCTAGGTTGGACGCTCTTTATGAGAAGCTAACTGATGATCTGCCTGATGATCTGAGGTGGAACAGTTTCATCCCGAAACCGTCCTATCCCCCCACTCCACCCCCTGGTCTGTGGAAAAATTGTCTTCCACGAAACTGATCCCTGGTGCCAAAAAGGTTGGGGACTGCTGACCTAGAGTACAACACTGGAATATAAAACATTATAGGAAACCCAATTAGAGATATGTTTCCAAGCCATAAGTTAGATTTGAGGACATTTTTTAAAAGGTTGTTTAGGCCTGGCATGGTGGCTCACGTCTGTAATCCCAGCATTTTGGGAGGCCGAGGTGGGCAGGTCACCTGAGGTCAAGAGATCGAGACCAGCCTGGCCAACATGGTGAAACCCTGTCTCTACTAAAAACACAAAAATTAGCTGGGCATGGTGGCGGATGCCTGTAATCCCAACTACTCGGGAGGCTGAGGCAGGAGAATCACTTGAACCCGCAAGGCGGAGGTTGCAGTGAGCTGAAATCACACCACTAAACTCCAGCCTGGGTGACAGAGCAAGACTCTGTCTCAAAAAAAAAAAAAAAAATAGCAGAAGGTAGCGAAGGTACGCGTACGTGTGTGTATATATGTATATACATACACACATACACATACAAGTATACATATATACATACACACATACACATACATACACATATACACATACATACATATAAATATATAAATACGCACATATAGTATACACGTACATACACATGTAAACATCTCTTTTAGAAGAGAACCATTTCCCAAGTGTTTTTGAATGAGGGTAGTATTCCAATGCATCGTTGGAAATCAAGAGATAGTCTACAGCAATAGATCATTATGATCCAGTAGACATAAACTTTTTGAGGGGAAAGCCCATATTTTATTCATCTTTCTGTCTCCATAACTGACACATACCAGGAACCCAATAAATGTTCACAAATTTAATGCAACAATGGAGTTCTCACTACAGTGATGGAGAGGTTCATGATGCCTGTTAGACATCCAGGAGGAGTGGAGCAAGCCAGCCTGCAGAGATCAATAAGCCTCAAGGCCCAGGCTCTAGCTAATACCTTCAGAACTTGAAATTTGAGGATTTTTACCTGTTTACAGAGGTGGAAGGAACAGATTTCCAGAAGTAACGAGAATAAAAAAATAATTAGAAAATTTCAAAGTCTCAACCAGGCATTGTGGCTTATGCCTGTAATTCCAGCATTTTGGGAGGCCAAGGCAGGAGGATCACTTGAGGTGAGGAGTTTGAGAGTAGCTTGGGCAACATAGTGAGACCCTGTCTCTAAAAAAAGAAAAGTAGCTAAGCATTGTGGCACACACTTTTAGTCTCAGCTACCTGGGAGACTGAGGTGGGAGGATGGCTTGAGCCCCAGGAGTTTGAGGCTGCAGTGCACTCCAGCCTGGGTGACAGAGGAAAGAGAGAAAGAAAGAGAGAAAGAAAGAAAGAAAGAAAGAAAGAAAGAAAGAAAGAAAGAAAGAAAGAAAGAAAGAAAGGAAGGAAGGAAGGAAGGAAGGAAGGAAGGAAGGAAGGAAGGAAGGAAGGAAGGAAGGAAAGAGAGAGAGAGAGAGAAAGAAAGGAAGGAAGGAAGGAGGGAAGGAGAGAGAGAGAGAAAGAAAGAAAGAAAGAGAGAGACAGAAAAAGACAAAGAGAGAGAGAAAGAGAGAGAGGGAGGGAGGAAGGGAAAGAAAGAAAGAGGGAGGGAGGAAAGAAGGAAAGAAAGAAAGAGACAGGAAAGGAGAGGAGAGGAAACGAAAGAAAGGAAAGGAAGACGGAAGAAAAGAAGGAATGAAGGAAGGAAGGAAGGAAAGAAGGAGGAAGGGAGGAAAGGAGGAAAGGGGCATGGGGGAGGGAGGGAGGGAGGGGAAAGAAAGAAAGAGAGAAAGAAAGAAAGAAGAAAATCTCAAAATTTCATTTGAGCTATGACTTTTAAACTTCTGATCTTCCCAAGCTTTTTCTAATTATCTAGGCTTTTTTCCTAACCTGATTGCTACCTCCTCCCACCCCAAATAAAATCTATATATGTTCAAGTTCAAGTTGGTTCCAGCATGGTAACAACAAGGCCATCACTACCAGCAGGACTGAATGTACCTTTTACAGTACACTCCAGAAACCAGCGATTCTCTGTTTGCTGACACTTTCTTAGGACCACCATGAACTCAGGCACTCCTTCCACATTTCAGTTTGTTGGGCTACTGGCTGCCTGGGACTTCTTTGTCATTTCAGAGTTTTTCTAGGTTGGCAAAGGAGGAAAATTGGGGGTCGATCTTATTCAAACAACTCTGCAATGTGTCAGGAGATTCATCAGTGTCCTTATCACTTATGTTTTCTCATATTGGTTATAAGTCAGGGTCATTGTGATTTTTTCAGACAGCGTATGAAAGGGGAGAGGCAATAGATCACTGCAGAAATAAAGGACTGAGCTACCCCTAAAAGCAGATGTCTTTTCTCATGAATGTGGGAGATTTATGTGCCCAATTCTTCACTATTCATTGCTTGGGAGGTGGGTGAGAGATTTGGCTTCAACATTTATTGACCTATACAGCATAGGGTAAGTACTCTTGCTTATGTTAATTCCATTTAATCCTCAAAGCCACACTGAGAGGTGGTATTATTATCTCATATGAAAGTAGGAGAAAATGAGGCTCTGAGTGTGAGCAACTTACCCAAAACCAAGCCACCTGTGAGTGGCAAGAGCCGGCCTTCAAACCCAGGAATTTAGGGGCTCTTACTCCCATGTCACATTTTAGGCTCATAATATGAAAAAATAATGAAATATCTAAGTGCAAAACAGATAGTTCCTAAGCCCAGTGTTAGCCAAAAATGACCTGTCCTCTCCTTTAAAAGGAAATATCTGTGCAGGAACAATTTCACTTTTGAATATGAAGATTACACTCTTAGTTACCAGGAGAAAGTGGGTAAACACTTCATTAAATGCCTGAAAGATGTCATAATGAAGGCAGGGATTTTCCTTTTTCCATTTGCTCAAAAGCATGTCCAAATCCACACCCATAAGACACACGCACACACACACACACACACACACACACACACACACACACACAGAATGAGAAAGGAGAAAGAAAGAACTAAAGAATTAATATTCATTAAGTGTGTACTCGGGGAAGATACCATATTAAATGCTTTCCATGCCTCAATTTTTGCAGCAATCCTGTGAGGCAAATACTATTATCTCCCCTATTTTACAGATGAGGAAACTGAATCCTTAAAGTCAAGTATCTTACTGGCAGTACCCAAAGCTTATGAGGCCAGACTCAAGATTCCAACCCAAGTGGGCCTAAGTAACATCTCTTTTTCTCTGCAGCCTGATGCACACCATTTGAAAACAGAACTCCTGTTGAAATGGCCACTCTCAAATTTCACTCACAGTGTGAAAATTGGTAACTTTCAGGCTGACTCCTTAGTGGTTTTGATCCAATCATAAAAACAAGCTTACTCTTTTGGCCTAGCAATTTCATTTCTAGGAGTTTTTCCTAAGGGAATAATCAGATACATAAGTGCAAACGTTGTACAAGTAAATTCTATACATCGTTACTTAAGTTATTTATTATTGAGTTATTTATATTGTTACCTTGTTACTAAGCTATTATTTAAGCTATTAGACTCAAATGTCTAATAAGAGATAGACTAAATTCATTATGGTACATTCATACTGAATTTTTTTTTTTTGAGACGGAGTCTTGCTCTTGTTGCCCAAGCTGGAGTGCAATGGTGTGATCTCCGCTCACCCTAACCTCTGCCTCCTAGGTTCAAGTGATTCTCCTGCCTCAGGCTCTTGAGTAGCTGGGATTACAGGCATGCACCACCACGCCCAGCTAATTTTGTATTTTTAATAGAGACAAGGTTTCTCCATGTTGGTTAGGCTGGTCTTGAACTCCCGACCTCAGGTGATCCGCCTGCCTCGGCCTCCCAAAGTGCTAGGATTACAGGCGTGAGCCACCACTCCCAGCCTGAAAATTGTATGAAGTCATTAAAAGTCCTATTGTAGATGACTATTCGATGATATGAGACACTCCTGTAACATATTAAATACGGAAGCAGATGGCATACAAATTGTATAATATCCATACAGGGTATATAATTTGCATTTAAAATATGTATATGCATATATATATTTGAGACGGGGTCTTGCTCTGTTGCCCAGGCTAAAATGCAGTGGTGCAGTCTTGGCTCACTGCAGCCTTGATGTCCTGGGCTCAAGTGATCTTCCCATGTCAGCCTCCTGAGTAGCTGGGACTACAGGCACACACCTCTATGCCTGGGTAACTGTGCTATTTTTTTTGTAGAGATGGAGTCTTGCTGTGTTGCTCAGGCAGTCTCAAACTCTTGGCCTCAAGAGATCATCCTACCTCAGCCTCCCAAAGCACTAGGATTACATGTGTGAGCCACCGTGCCTGGCCTTGAAAAAAATATTGAAAGAGATACACTACACTTTTTCAAAACATATGACTGTTTAGTTTGGCTCAAGGCTGACAACAGGCCTTCTTTAGCCAGAGGTTCGATGCAGAGTTTTTAATGAGGTCCTGTAAGGGTCAGCATGTCTCCACATTGCACATGGGAACGAAGTCCAGACTGCTTAATACAGGATGCAAAACCTTAAATGAATCTGGCCTTCTGACCACCTATGCACTTTTGCATTGCTCATGATGCCTCAGCCACAAGGCCTTTTTGAGCTCCTAAGTTTCACCTGCTCAACCCTACTCCTGTGCAGGGCCTTTGCACATGCTGCCACTTCTGCCTGGGGTGCATTCCCCCATTCTCCCATGGCTGCCTTATTTCTTTAGGTCTCAGCTTACACGGCACCTCCTCAGGGGGTCCTTCCCTGACTACCTACTGTAATGTAGGCTTCCCCTTTTATTCTCTCACATAGCATCCTGTTCCTTTTGTTTTCTAGCACATACCACAATTTGTGATTTTTTCATGTGTTTACTTATTCGATGCCTACTGGCTTGTAGAATCTACTAAGCTCAGTGAGGGTAAGAGCCATGCCTTTTTTTTTCAGGTGCCTACTAAGAGGTTATTAATGGTAGGCAATCAATAAATATTTGTGGAATGAATGTACAAAATTACTATGAAGTTATTAGGCACTGACTCCATACCTAGCAAACTGCCATGGAAGGTTTAGAAGCCTGTTGGAGAAAAGGCCTGGTGCAGTGACTCATGTCTGTAATCCCAGCACTTTGGGAGGCCTAGGCAGGCGGATCTCCTGAGGTCAAGAGATTGAGACCACCCTGGCCAACATGGTGAATCCCTGTCTCTACTAAAAATACAAAAATTAGCTGGGTGTGGTGGTGCACACCTGTAGTCCCAGCTGCTCGGGAGGCTGAGGCAGGAGAATCACTTGACTCCAGGAGGCAGAGGTTGCAGCCACTTGAGATCGCGCCACTGCACTCCAGCCTAGTGACAGAGACTCTGTCAAAAAAAAAAAAGAAATGGAAAAGAAAAAAAGAAGCAGCTTGTCGGAGAAGGAAGGCAGGGACTAGACAGTAGATGGCTGTATAATCAGAATAACACACAGGCTGCAATCATCCCTGCAAGGAAATGCTTCACTTATTTCTAAACCATTCTCCAAAAATGGCTCATTGGAGATGAACTGTCTTACATCCTACAAGTAATATGAACTGAAGAGAAGTATCACTGAGCACAGGCTTCCCATTATCCTAAAGTATCTAGGGCCAGATACAGACATGATGTAGAACCAGCCTGTGCTGCTCTGGAAGTGCTCACAGCTCCTTTTGTCTCATGCAGTCCCTCTAAAGCTGACTGTCTTCTTTGAGCAAGGAGAGAGAAACTGCTAGACTATAGTCCGAGGGCTTCTCCCAAAGCCCTTGAGAACCACTGTGCTTCTCTAGGGCCCTGGTTCTCAAGTAGACATCATCACGTGCCTTGAAGAGCCACATGGAAAACTAAAATGGTGGGAAAAGGAAAAAACAAATTCCCTGAGCTGGGCGCGGTGGCTCACACCTGTAATACCAGCGCTCTAGGAGGCTGAGACGGGCAGATCCTTTGAGGTCAGGAGTTCGAAACCAGCCTGGCCAACATGGTGAAATCCCATCTCTACTAAAAATACAAAAAGTAGCCGCGCATGGTGGTGCATGACTATAGTCCCAGCTACTCGGGAGGCTGAGGCAGGAGAATCACTTGAACCTGGGAGGCAGAGGTTGCAATGAGCAGAGATTGCACCATTGCACTCCAGCCTGGATGACAGAGCAAGACTCCATTTCAAAAACAAAACAAAACAAAACAAAAAAACAGCAATAACAATAACAACAACAACAAATCCTTTTTGTGCTGAAAGAAAAAATTTCATATGTAAAATCCCGTAGCAGCTTTAAGGACAATTATGGGAAGAAATAGAATAGATAAAGCTAAATATTAACTTAATATTTTTTCTCCTGCAGATTAGAAAATGGCAACTCCTATCTGACTCCAGAAGCCAAACATGTAGGAGAAACTTAAGGCCCATCAGTGTTCCTGGGGAATGTTGTCCATGGACTAGAAAACTGGGTGTGTGGGGTGGGGGCTGGGGATGGTGTTAATATTTTCCAAGCCCCATTCAAATAGCAACTACTATCTCCTACCATGTACTCTATGCTGCTATCAATTTCTCCAGCAGTTGATGGCAAATTCACCTCATAAATCAATCTATACAAGAGGTCAGAGGCCAACCACAGCCAATTAAAACCTCTCTGCAATAATTCATCCAAGATCTGAGTAAGGATTTTTTTCAAGTCCTAGGAGGCTCTTGTTTATTCTAATCAGATCAGTAGAGGAAGAACTAAATTCTAATCAGAATCAGTAGTGCAGGACTCGCATTTTTCTCTTATCCTAGAGCACAAAGTCAGATATTTTTATAAGAGAAGGAAGAGGAAAAGGAGAAAGATATGAGGAAAGAGTGGGCTGAAGAAATAGAGGCCTTTTCTTTACATTAAGGAAAAGCTCTCCCCCAAGTTGGACCTGCTTCTAGTGGCTTCATCCTGGAGAGGTTCTATTCCAACCTCCTGGAGCTCTGAGTCCTGTCAGTGTTATGTTCCACAAATACAATAAAACTGCTATTTACTGAGTGCCTGCAACATGGAAGGGACCCTGGAAGATTAAAGAGACCAGTAAGTGTGTTGCTGTTTTTTTTTTTTTTTTTTTTTGAGACGGAGTCTTGCTCTGTCTCCCAGGCTGGAGTGCAGTGGCTCAATCTCGGCTCACTGCAAGCTCCACCTCCCGGGTTCATGCCATTCTCCTGCCTCAGCCTCCTGAGTAGCTGGGACTACAGGCGCCCGCCACCACGCCTGGCTAATTTTTTGTATTTTTGTATTTTTAGTAGAGACAGGGTTTCACTGTGTTAACCAGGATGGTCTCGATCTCCTGACCTTGTGATCCGCCCTCCTCAGCCTCCTGAAGTGCTGGGATTACAGGCGTGAGCCACCGCGCCCGGCCCAAGTGTGTTGCTTTTTAGGAAACTTCAGACTAGAGGTTACCCAGGTGTGAGAAAGTACTGGAAAACTAGGAGGCTATATGGCATATACTGTAAGTATATAAATATATAACTGCACGTACACACACACACACACACACACACACACACACACACACACTATAACAATAAGATCGTAGCTATATTTTCACCTGGACAAATTACTTAGCTTTTGAAACTTGTGTTTCTCATCTGTAAGATGGGCAGTAATAACAGTACAAACCTACAGGCACGTGGTAGATTAATGAGATGTTTGCAAATTTCTAGCATGCTCTCTACCCCCAGAGTGCTCACTCAATGCTGGCTATACCTTAAAACAACATTAGACTCTAGGCCCTGCTGCAGGGCTCCCTGGTTATCAGCTCATTCGGTTTCAAGCTCCTCCCTCCAGCCCCAGGTCCAGCCTGCCTCTTGACTGAACTTTCTTGGTACTGAGGTCGGGACTGAGGTACTGCAGGCTCCTGTAGGCGAGTTGCCAACAGCCAGCCTCAACCTCCTCCCTGTGGCAGAGCCCCCCAATGGACAGCCCAGCACACTCCCAAGTGATTTGCAAGGCTCTGATTTAATCTGTCTCCCAGACTGCCTCAGGCACATAAGCAGACCTTCTAGCTACTTTTGAAAACAAAATGCCTTATTTTTATTTTCTCAATGTGAATATTTTTAAAAATTGCTTATTGCAACAATTTGCACAGATTTGAGGTGTACAATGAAAAAAATAAAGTTTCCCTATCTCCACCCCTTTTACGTTACCTCCCATTCCATTACCCCCATCCTGTGAGCCAATGGTAATGGTTTTGTGAATATCCTTCCATGACTTGTAAATACTTTCAAAAACGTTGATACATGCACATGCAATCATGTAGACATATGATAAATATTGCTCTGTAACTTGCTTTCTTTCTCCCCACTGGCCAAAGTATCATGGACATCTTTCCCAGCTATTATCTAGAATAATAGCTGGCAAATCACAGGCAAAGCTGTGAGGTCTTTACCAAGTTCTACAAGAGGCTCAACAAAGTAATCAAAACATCTGCTTTGTCTTGCTCATTGTTACTATCTTTCCAATTTCATCCAAGGAGGTCCAGGGTATTAGGCTCCAAAGCCTAGTCTGGGATGAGGAATTATGTCAAAGAACTCATAACTGTTTTATTTCTCTGTAAAACTAGAGAAGCTATGGCTATTCACGGTCCGTTTCTCTCTTTCCTGGGAAATACTTGTTGATGTCAGCTTTTCTCTAGATTTTAAGACATATGCAAGGGAAAAGTGGGAGCAAGAGACACTGTCTTCCCCTTAGAGGTCTCTCTGCAGCTACCAACACCACACGGCTCTATCTGAGGACAAGGAAGCAGTGTGTGTGCTTGTGCAGACAAGTTTCGCCCACTCTGGGGTTGCCACGTACAGGATGGCTAGGACCTGAATGACATTAGTCAAGTACGCAAGGCCCTTAGAAAGCACATCACAATAAAGAGTATAGCCAAGAATTTACTCCAATGTTGGAATAGCTAGCATTTTAATGAAACTGGCTGGAGTGAGTCCAAAAGTAGACTTAGAAGTCACCTTTCTCTTCAAGTCATAGGCAATTTCTGAAAAAACAAACATGAGGTGGAATCCCGTCCTACACTCAGGATTCCAGAGAGGGAGGAGGGAAGAGTGGAAGTTCACAGTAGTTGTGCCAACCCAACTGTTCTCTTCTCTTGTTCTGTATCAAGTCAATCCCATCAGGAGGGAAAGACCCGTCTAGAGGGATAAGGATGTTCTTGGGATGAGGAATTTGGGTGTCTCTCAACTCTGCCAGGAAGACAAGATACCAACACACCCTCACATCCACCTTGTGTTGGTACAGAAGAATATGTAAAGAGACACTGAGTGAATCAAGACATACACGAGACATGTGAAAAAGACATACAGGAGAATATGTAAAGAGACACACCTGAGTGAAACAAGATAAGAGTAAAAAAAAAAAAAAGTAAGTATCTGGGAAGAGAAAAGAGTGCTCTGACACCAGACTTAAGCCCCTAAATCCTACCTAGCTCTAACAAGGAGAAGGAGGCTCCTTCCAGCTGGAAACAGACCAGACTTCGTAAAGTTATCACTCACCCACCTTGTTTATTATTGTCTGAGAGCCTGAGAAAGGGGCTGTGTTTTCGGTAGGCTAAAGGGAAATGAGAACACTTCATGTGGGATTCACGAGCATCGTGGAGCCTGATAGAGATTAGAAAGCAAAGGTCACATGGCATGGAGAACCTCAGCGACAAACACACATATACATTCTCTAATCACACTCTGGGTATGTGTTTATCACTAGGCTGTAAGCTTCCTGAAGAGGGGTGGGTGTTTTATTCCCTGTCCACCCTGTGTCAGTCATCCTTTAACAGGAAATGAGATTTATGAGTCAGGAGCTCAATAAACATTTGTGAAATGAACTCAGTCAGAGAAGAGGCTCTATTCTGATTGTCAGTAGAAACAACTTCATCTTCAGCTAATAATGTTCAGAGTCTGGCATATAAGGGACTAGACTAGCCAGGGCACGAGGAATAGACAAGCAAAAGTTAAAGAAGATGTTGCCTCCAGCCTTCCCAATGGATTGAATAGAGTAGCCATCTGCTACTCCATGGATGACTCCATCTGTTTAAATTTTTTTTCAACTTTCTCACTGAAATTATCTTAACATGATAGTCAAATCTCCTTCATTCCCGATTTTGGACATGAGACTTAAAATATTTATTTTTATAATTATTTATTTTTGGGACTGGGTCTCACTGTGTCACCCAAGCCAAAGTGCAGTGGTGCGATCACAGCTCACTACAACCTCAACTTCCCAGGCTCAGGTGATCCTCCCACCTCAGCCTCCTGAGTAGCTGGGACTACAGGCACATACTACCATGCCTAACTTACTTTTTGGGTTTTTTGGAGAGACGGGGTCTCACTATGTTGCCCAGGCTGTTCTCAAATTTCTGGGCTCAAGCAATCCACCCACCTCAGCCTCCCAAAGTGTTGGGATTCCAGGCAACAGCCACCATGCCTAGACTTTTAAATATATACATATATTTATAAATATATAAATATAATATTTATAAATATTATAAAATATATATAGTTTTAAGGAATATGAGTAGGTCCCCTAGCCTAGAACCTGATGTATGCTCTCAGATCCTGGTTTCCTTCTCTTTCCCACGCTTTGAGCTTTACTTCATGAAAGTTTGAGTAAAGGCATGCAGATTCTTTCCTGAGAGCCTGATTTGACAGGAGAAAGAGGCATGAAGGCCAAGGAGGAGTTCAGTGGGGAGCTGGCGGAAAGGTGCTGTTTTGGTGAGCGCTCCTAGCTTGCTAGCAGACGAGGACTACTCATGGGAACAGCTGCAAAATCAAGGTCACTAGATGCTTAGAAGCCAGATTGAACACACACAAGACCGTGTTTCAGGAAAAGTCCAACTGACCAGAACCTAACTCAGACTCTCCTCAGAAAACTCTTTCTGTAGTAGACTTTGTTATGGTTATAATGTATCTAGTTCATTCCCCACTGTAAAAAACAAAAACAAAAACAAAACACACTTGCTGACAGACTTGATGAAGAATGCTGTGCTTACTTTCTGCAAACATGACCTAGAAAAAAGTGACAATGGAAGATGCCCCACTGTAGCAGATAACAGAGGTGAAACCTTTCTCCAATCTCACCCCCATTTTGAACAATAAAATTTAAATTATTTAGAAATTTAAATTATCTGTGGCCAACTATAACATTTTCTTTCCAGAGATTTACAATGTGAAATGATTAAATGTGTTATTTTGTTCTAAAGTGTTTAAAGTTCTACAGTGAGACACAGGAAACGAAAGGAAGACTCCTCAGGTTCCTTAGAAATAAGGAAACCTGAGGATAAGAAAATGGTATGATAGGGGCTAGGTGTGGTGGCTCACGCCTGTAATCCCAACACTTTGGGAGACCAAGTGGGAAGATCACTTGAGGTCAGGAGTACGAGATTAGCCTGGGCAACATGGTGAAACCCCATCTCTACTAAAAAATACAAAAATTAAGTGGGCATGGTGGTGCATGCCTGTAATTCCACTACTCAGGAGGCTGAGGCAGGAGGATTGCTTGAACCCAGGAAGCAGAGGTTACAGTGAGTCAAGATCACGCCACTGCACTCCAACCTGGGTAACAGGGTGAGACTCCATCTCAAAAAAGAAAAGGAAAAAAAAAAGAAAGAAAATGGTATGAGGGTAACTCTGTGTTCTGGCTAATTTAAATTCTGATATAGGCACTGCCTAGTCTTTGCAAAGTCTTTGACAAACTGGCATTTCTCAAATTTGTGCAAGACTCCTTAGAAGTGCTGGTTGAAAAGGTATAAAATTCAATGATGAACTACAAAGTAAGTACCTCATTTTTTTCCCATCTGATTTAGTTCGATTCTGTTACATTTGTTCTTCTAAGTATTTTCTCTCTTTGTCTGCCATGTTTTCCTATGCCACCATTTTAGTTTCCAATACTGCTGCAACTATGCCTTTAGAATATCAAAATTTTTGGCCGTGCGAGGTGGCTCACGCCTGTAATCCCAGCACTTTGGGAGGCCGAGGCGGGAGGATCACGAGGGCAGGAGATCAAGACCATCCTGGCTAACTCGGTGAAACCCCGTCTCTACTAAAAATTAAAAAAAAAAAAAAATTAGCCAGGCATGGTGGCGGGTACCTGTAGTCCCAGCTACTACGAAGGCTGAGGCGGGAGAATGGCATGAACCCGGGAGGCGGAGCTTACAGTGAGCCGAAATCACGCCACTGCTCTCCAGCCTGGGCCAGCAACAGAGCGAGACTCCATCTCAAAAAAAAAAAAAATTGTATTTACATATTGATTCTTTTTTTTTTTTTTTTTTTGAGACAGAGTCCCGTTCTGTCGCCCAGGCTGGAGTGCAATGGTAGAATCTCAGCTCACTGCAACCTCTGCCTCCCGGTTTCAAGCAATTCTCCTGCCTCAGCCTCCCAAGTAGGTGGGACTACAGACGAGTGCCACCAGACCCGGCTAATTTTTGTATTTTTAGTAGAGACGGGGTTTCACTATTTTGGCCAGACTGGTCTGGAACTCCTGACCTTGTGATCCACCCACCTCAGCCTCCCCAAGTGCTGGGATTAGAGGCATGAGCCACCGCGCCCGGCCAGCATATTAATTCTTTTTTTCACATTAGAATCACCCAGGAGGCTTTTATTTTTCTCCTAGCTTTATTGAGATATAGGTAACAAATAAAACTGTATAAATTTCAATTGTACAATGTGATGATTTGATATACATATACATTGTGTAATAATTACCACAATCAAATTAATCAACACATCCATCTCCAAGCATAGTTACATGTGTGTATGTGTAGTATGTGTAGTACACTTAAGATATACTCTTAATAAATTTCAAGTAAAAAATACATTAATTGTTTCTTTTATTCTATACATAGTAATTGAATTTCCAAGTACTGTGTCGATAACTGAGTTTTAAAAGATTAATAACATCTCTGAATCCACCCAGATATAGAGAGAATTTAGGCTGGGCACGGTGGTTCATGCCTGTAATCCCAGAACTTTGGGAGGCCAAGGTGGGAGGATTGCTTGAGCCCAGGAGTTCCAGCCTACAGTGAGCTGTGATTGTTCCACTGTACTCCAGCCTGAGTGCAATGAAAACTCAGGTAACTATGGAAAACAGTGTCTTGACTGAATATTGTCAGGGTAAAGACAAAAAGAACTATACATAAATGCTGTATTCTATTTAGTAAATGTGTTCCTCATTAAGCATTTACACGAAACGAACAAATAAGTAAACAGATAGTAAATAATTGCAGCCAGGTTTCTCACTGTTGGAGAAGGAAGTTTTAAACAAGGAAAGGAGAAAGGTTAAAATAAACTCTCTGATGTTGGACTGGAATCGAAGGAATCAGTATTAACTCATCACCATCATTACATATATAAATTGCATATTAATATATGAAATTATATGTTAGTATATATTAATAACAGATACAAAAATATTTATATATACATATGTATACACAAATACAGAAAGATAGGTGGCATTGATGGGTATATATGCATGGTTTATACATATATAGTTTTATAGCTTTGTCTGCTGGAAGTATCTAGAAGCAATGATACCCAGTCTCATGTCTAGATCTCAGTTTCTTTTTTTTTTTTTTTTGAGACGGAGTCTCACTCTGTCATCCAGTCTGGAGTGCAGTGGCGCAATCTTGGCTCACTGCAACCTCCGCCTCCCCAGTTCAAGCGATTCTCCCGCCTCAGCCTCCTGAGTAGCTGGGACTACAGGCGCCTGCCACAACGCCCGGCTAATTTTTTGTATTTTTAGTAGAGACAGGTTTTCACCAGGTTAGCCAGGATGGTCTTGATCTCCTGACCTCATGATCCAGCTGCCTCGGCCCCCCAAAGTGCTGGGATTACAGGTGTGAGCCACAGCGCCCAGCCCCGGATCTCAGCTTCTAAACACCATCCTTCAGTAAAAGGAACCAGAGCTCCTTGGAAAAGTGGCAAGCCAGGATTAGGGAAAACACTAGATGAGTCTGGAAAAATCTGTAAAGCCAGAAAGTAAGAATGTGCTCAAAATCAGATGAGGCATAGCAAAAGAAAACACAAGCCAAGCTGAGGAGCTCCTTATGGACAAATTAGAACAATTTGAGCAACAAAATAAACTTTGATACTACTGAATTTTGCCTACAGAATAAAATAAACTTCCATGAGTCCATACTAATATAAATGTGTAATTGAATAAACAAATGGCTGATCTGAGTGCAGTGGCTCATGCCTGTAATCCCAGCATGTTGGGAGGCCGAGGCAGGAGGACCACTTGAAGTCAGGAATTGGAAGTGAGACCTCATCTGTACACAAAATTTAAAAAATTAGCCAGGTGTGGTGGCACACACCTGTAGTGCTAGCTACTCATGAGACTGAAATGGGAAGATTGCTGGAGTCCAGGAGTTGGAGATCGTAGTGAGCTATGATCGTGCCACTGCACTCCAGCTTGGTCGACACAGTGAGGCCCTGTCTCTTAAAAAAAAAAAAAAAATACAGTTAATCATTTTCAGGCTGCAATGCTGCAGAACACCAGAACTTATTCCTTCTATCTAGCTGTAATTTTGTATCCATTAATCAACCTCTCCCCAACCTCTTCTCCCGCTCCCTTTCCCAGCCTCTATTACCCACAATTCTACTCTCTACTTCTACAAGCTCAATTTTTGTTTAGCTCCTACATATGAGCAAGGATATGCAGTCTTTGTTCTCTGTGCCTTACTTATTTTACTTTAACGTAATGTGCTCCAGGCTCATCCATGTTGCCACAAATGACAGGATGTTGTTCCTTTTTATGGCTGAGTAGTATTCCATTAAGTATATATACCACATTTTCTTTATCCATTTATCTGTTGATAGACTTTTAGGCTGATTCCGTGTCTTAACTATTGTGAACAGTGCTGTAATAAACATGGGAGTTTTTTGATATGCTAATTTCCTTTCCTTCAGATAAATATCCAGTAGTGAGTAGGATTGCTGGATCGTATGGTAGTTCTATTTTTAGTTTTTTGAGAAACCTCCACACTGTTTTCCATAATGGTTGAGACAGCTCTTCTTTACAGTAGAATTCCAACAAACGAATGAAGAAGGGAAGAAGGAAGTAGAAAATCACCATTAGTCAAATATCACAATAATACTTGCTGCAGACAACATCCACAAATGGATGCCATAAGCAGCAGGCAAGAGTGTGAGGTGTTTCAAAGTTTCAAAGTGTCTCTCCCAAGATATTTATTAACTACAAAGGGAAAGATAGTAACTCTACAACGGAGAAATCTGGCAGACAATGCCTTAACCAAATGGACCAAGTTTAAGTCACCAACAATAAGAACTGACATCCTGAACTCTTTAATCTTAGAAGGCACGACATCATTTCTGAAGTATTCTGGCCAAAAATAAATAACGTCATTCCAATCATGAGAAAACATCCAAAACCCAAATGGCGGGACACTACATAATGGTAGGATAGGCTTCAAGAGTATTGAGGTCATGAAAGCCATGGAAAGAGCAAGAAATTTACAGACTGGAGGAGACTGAGGAGACCAAATAACTCGATATGACGGGCCTGTTGGGTAAGAACTTGGAACAGAAAAAGAAATTACAGAAAAAAACTGGTGAAAATTAAATTGTCTCAATGTTAATTTCCTGGTTTTGATAACTGTGCTATGGTTATATAAGACATTAACAATCTGGCTGCGCACGATGGTTCCCACCTGTATTCCCAGCACTTTGGGAGGCCAAGGCAAGTGGATCACCTGAGGTCAGGAGTTCGAGACCAGCCTGGCCAACATGGTGAAACCCCATCTTTACTAAAAATACAAAAATTAGCCAGGCATGGTGGAGTGCCATGATATATCTATAGATATATCTATATTGACTTATACAACACTAAAGGTGCATAAAACTAAATTTATTTGTCAGCTGCTCGGGAGGCTGAGGCAGGAGAATCACTTCAACCTGGGAGGCAGAGGTTGCAGTGAGCAGCGATGGTGCCACTGCACTCCAGCCTGGGTGACAGAGAGAGACACCATCTCAAAAATAAAAATAAAAAATAAAAAAATTGGTGTTAGGATGCCCCACTTACATAGCCCACTGCCACTGACTGCTCCCCACCCTGTTTTCCCATAGCACTTACCATCCTTTTTTTTTTTTTTTTTTTTTTTTTTTTTGAAACTGAGTCTCACTCTGTCACTAGGCTGGATGGAATGCAGTGGCAGGGTCTCGTCTCACAGCAACCTCTGCCTCCCGGGTTCAAGTGATTCTCCTGCCTCAACCTCCCAAGTACTGGGACTACAGGCACATGCCACCATGCCCAGCTAATTTTTGTATTTTTAGTAGAGACAGGGTTTCACCATGTTGGCCAGGATGGTATCGATCTCTTGACCTCATGATCCACCCGCCTCAGCCTTCCAAAGTGCTGGTATTACAGGCATGAGCTACTGCGCCCAGCCGCACTTACCATCTTCTAACATATTATATAATGTACTGCTTTGTCATGTGTATGTTTTACTGTATGCTCCCCCAATAGAAGACAAATTTCCTGAGGTTCTTTGTTTTGTTTACTGGTTTATCCTGAGCTCCTAGAAAAATATGTGGCACAGCGTGAGCAATCAATATATATGTGTTTAATAGATGAATGAGTAAATATTTGCAAAAAAAATAAATACAAGAAAACATATGTATAGAAAAATGCTGCAAAGTCAAATGCCTTCAGGGCTTGGCCAGGTAACTTAAATATGTGAAGGGCTGTCTGTTTTGTTCACTGATATATCTCATGTGGCCCAAATAGTGCCTGCTACATAGGAGACATGCAATAAATATTTGCTGAAAGAATTAATATAAAATATTTTTATTAAATGGGTGGAAATTACACATCTGAAGTTTTAGTAGTGTTTTAATTGTATAAACACTGCTATGTTGACTTATACAACACTAAAGGTGCATAAAACTAAATTTACTTGTCAAGGCAAAGATATTCTAAATACCTTTTATTTTGTTTGATCTACACTAAATATTTCACTTTTTTTTTTTTTTGGAGATGGAATTTCACTCTTGTTGCCCAGCCTGGAGTGCAATGGTTTGATCTCAGCTCACCGCAACCTCCGCCTCCCGGGTTCAAGCAATTCTCCTGCCTCAGCCTCCCGAGTAGCTGGGATTACAGGTATGCACCACCACGTCCAGCTAATTTTGTATTTTTAGTAGAGACAGGGTTTCTCCATGTTGGTTAGGCTGGTCTGGAACTCCTGACCTCAGGTGATCTGCCTGCCTCAGCCTCCCAAAGTGCTGGTATTACTGTCATGAGTCACAGGACCTGGACTAAATTTTACTTTCTTTAAAAAAAAAAAAAAAAGTTTGTTGGAAGAAGATATTTTCAAAAATGCTATAGTACGCCAGGCATGGTAGTTCATGCCTGTAATCCTAGCACTTTGGGAGGCTGAGGTGGGAGGATCGCTTGAAGCCAGGAGCAACCAACCTGGGCAACAGAGCAAGACTCTGTCTCTACAAAAAAAAAAGAAAAAAAATAGTGGGACATGGTGGCATGCACCTGTAGTTCCCAGCTACTAGGAGGTTGAGGCAGGAGGATTTCTTGAGCCCAGGAGTTCAAGGCTGCAGTGAGCAAGGATGCACCACTGCAATCCAACCTGGGGGACAGAGCAAGACCTTGTCTCAAAAAAAGAAAATGCTTTACTAAGGTGTGGTGACAGTATCATATATTGCTGGTGGCAATATTAATTGCTACTGCCTTTCTACAGCACAATCCAGCCCAATGTAAAAGATCCTTTAAAAAAATGTGTTTAAGCTTTCACAAAGCAATTCCTCTTCTGGAATCTATCTCCTGAACTGAATCACCCAGCTACAGTCATCTCAGAGTTATACAAATGAAAGAGTGACCAAAAAAGTGAGTCGACAATGTGAAAATCGGTAAGTAAATAATAATATATCTGAATTATGGACCATTTTGCAGGTGCTAAAATGCATGTCTATAAAGAGCTTTTAGTACCATGGGAAAGTGCTTGTACTAGAATGTTAAGCAATAAAGAGGAGGATGTACAATTGTATAAGCAGTATTATCATCATAATGTAAAATATGATTTTAAAAAATTAAAATATGCATATATGTAAAATCTTTGGAATTTTTTTCTGCTTCTTTTTACTTTTACTTTTCATTCATCTATAATTAACATATAACACTTAAATTCAGAAGCGACATCAATAATAAAATATGAAAACACTGAATGGATTAATCCTGAAATATGAGATAAACATCAAATGCCAAAATAAAATTTGTTTGAAAAGTTACAGTATTACTGAAATAAATGCTAAATGGATCAAAGACCTAAATGTAACAAATAAAATCAGAAAATTACTAAAAGGAAACACAGGCAAATTGCTCCATAACCTTTCTAACTATGACTCAAAGCCTAGAAGCAATAAAAAAATGATAAATTTAAATGCATTAAAAACTTCTTATGGAGAAACAAAAGAACACCATATGCAAACAGCGGCAATAACAACAAAAGACAAACGGTGGGAGGTATTTGCAACTCTTATTACAAAGGGTCAATTTCCCTAATACATACAGGCCTCTTAAAATTGAGAGGAAAAACTGCAAAACCTTATAGAAATATGAACATAAAACATAACCATGCAGTTTATAGAGAAAGATATACAAACAGCTCTTTAATATATAAAAAGATGCTCATCCTCTTTCATAGTAACAAGTCTACAAATTAAAACTACACTGAGGCTGGGCGCGGAGGCTCACACCTCCAATCCCAGCACTTTGGAAGGCCGAGGCCAGAGGATCTCTTGAAGCCAGGAGTTCCAGACCAGCCTAGCGAACATAGCGAAACCCCATGTCTACTAAAAAATACAAAAATTAGCTGGGAATGGTGGCCAGCTGAGATCGCGCCTCTGCACTCCAGCCTGGGTGACAGAGCAAGACTCTATCTCAAAAATAATAATAGTAATAATAAAACAAAAACAAAAATAGTTCCGATGGTACAGTGTCTCACACCTGTAATCCCAGCACTTTGGAAGGTCCAGGTTGGTGGGTCACTTGAGCGCAGGAGTTTGAGACCAGCCTGGGCAACAAGGCGAGACCTCTTCTTTACGAAAAATACAAAAATTAGCTGGGCATGGGGGTGCAGCCTGTAGCCTCAGCTACTCAGGAGGCTGAGGCAGGCAGATTGCTTGAGCCTGGGAGGTTGAGGCTGCAGTGAGCCATGATTTCACCACTCCACTCCAGCTTGGGTGACAGAGTGAGACCTCGTTTCAAAAAAAAGACTTCATCCCATTTTGCTAAACAAGAAACTGAGTCTCAGGCAGGAAGCCAAGTGATGAAAGCAGAGACAGAACCACCAGCTCTGGCTGTGACAGTCTTGGCAACCCTGGATGCATCTCTCCACACATTTGGGGCAAAGCTCACCTTTCCCCAACCATTCCAGCCCTGCTGGCCCCTTGCCTACAGGTCTGATATGCTCAGGAGCCATTACAACTCACTGCAGCCTCTTATTCCCAGGTTCAGGTGATCCTCCCACCTCAGCCTCCTGAGTAGCTGGGACTACAGGTGCACGCCACCATGCCCAGTTAATTTTTGTATTTTTTGTAGAGATGGGATTTCACCATGTTGCCCAGGCTAGGATGAGGTTTTATTTTATATATATATATATATATATATGTACATACACACACACACATCTATCTTATATATATACGTATACATCTATCTTATATATATACGTATACATCTATCTTATATATATACGTATACATCTATCTTATATATATACGTATACATCTATCTTATATATATACGTATACACCTATCTTATATATACGTATACACCTATCTTATATATACGTATACACCTATCTTATATATATGTATACATCTATCTTATATATATACGTATACATCTTATATATACGTATACATCTATCTTATATATATACGTATACATCTATCTTATATATATACGTATACATATATCTTATATATATACGTATACATATATCTTATATATACGTATACATATATCTTATATATACGTATACATATATCTTATATATATACGTATATATATCTTATATATATACGTATATATATCTTATATATATACGTATATATATCTTATATATATACGTATATATATCTTATATATATACGTATATATCTTATATATATTATATATAATATATATTATATATAAGTATATATATATTTTATATATATATTATATATAATATATATTATATATAAGTATATATATATTTTATATATAAGTATATATATTATATATAAGTATATATTATATATAAGTATATATATTATATATAAGTATATATTATATATAAGTATATATATTTTATATATAAGTATACATATTTTATATATATAAGTATATATATTTTATATATATAAGTGTATATATATTTTATATATATGTGTATATATATTTTATACATATACGTGTATATATATTTTATACATATACGTGTATATATATTTTATACATATACGTGTATATATATTTTATACATATAAGTGTATATATATTTTATACATATAAGTATATATATTTTATACATATAAGTATATATATTTTATACATATAAGTATATATGTATATTTTATACATATAAGTATATATATTTTATACATATAAGTATTTATATATTTTATACATATAAGTATATATATTTTATATATAAGTATATATAATATATATAAGTATGTATATAAGTATATATATTTTATTATACATTAAGTTTTAGGGTACATGTGCACAACGTGCAGGTTTGTTACATATGTATACATGTGCCATGTTGGTGTGCTGCACCCATTAACTTGTCATTTCACATTAGGTATATATCCTAATGCTATTCCAACCCCCTCCCCCCACCCCACCACAGGCCCCAGTGTGTGATGTTCCCCTTCCTGTGTCCATGTGTTCTCATTGCTCAATTCCCACCTATAAGTAGGAACATGCGGTGTTTGGTTTTTTGTCCTTGCGATAGTTTGCTGAGAATGATGGTTTCCAGCTTCATCCATGTCCCTACAAAGGACATGAACTCATCCTTTTTTATGGCTGCATAGTATTCCATGGCATATATGTGCCACATTTTCTTAATCCAGTCTATCATTGTTGGACATTTGGGTTGGTTCCAAGTCACTGCTATTGTGAATAGTGCTGCAATAAACATACGTGTGCATGTGTCTTTATAGCAGCATGATTTATAATCCTTTGGGTATATACCCAGTAATGGGATGGCTGGGTCAGATGGTATTTCTAGTTCTAGATCCTTGAGGAATCGCCACACTGACTTCCACAATGGTTGAACTAGTTTACAGTCCCACCAACAGTGTAAAAGTGTTCCTATTTCTCCACATCCTCTCCAGCTCCTGTTGTTTCCTAACTTTTTAATGATCACCATTCTAACTGGTGTGAGATGGTATCTCCTTGTGGTTTTGATTTGCATTTCTCTGACGGCCAGTGATGATGAGCATTTTTTCATGTGTCTTTTGGCTGCATAAATGTCTTCTTTCGAGAAGTGTCTGTTAATATCCTTTGCCTGCTTGTTGATGGGGTTGTTTGTTTTTTCCTTGTAAATTTGTTTGAGTTCATTGTAGATTCTGGGTATTAGCCCTTTGTCAGATGAGTAGATTGCAAAAATGTTTTCCCATTCTGTAGGTTGCCTGTTCACTCTGATGGTAGTTTCTTTTGCTGTGCAGAAGCTCTTTAGTTTAATTAGATCCCATTTGTCAATTTTGGCTTTTGTCGCCATTGCGTTCGGTGTTTTAGACACGAAGTCCTTGCCCATGCCTATGTCCTGAATGGTATTGCCCAGGTTTTCTTCTAGGGTTTTTATGGTTTTAGGTCTAACATTTAAGTCTTTAATCCATCTTGAATTAATTTTTGTATAAGGTGTAAGGAAGGGATCCAGTTTCAGCTTTCTACATATGGCTAGCCAGTTTTCCCAGCACCATTTGTTAAATAGGGAATCCTTTCCCCATTTCTTGTTTTTGTCAGGTTTGTCAAAGATCAGATACTTGTAGATGTGTGGTATTATTTTTGAGGGCTCTGTTCTGTTCCATTGGTCTATAGCTCTGTTTTGGTACCAGTACCATGCTGTTTTGGTTACTGTAGCCTTGTAGTATAGTTTGAAGTCAGGTAGCGTGATGCCTCCAGCTTTGTTCTTTTGGCTTAGGATTGACTTGGCAATGCGGGCTCTTTTTTGGTTCCATATGAACTTTAAAGTAGTTTTTTCCAATTCTGTGAAGAAGGTCATTGGTAGCTTGATGAGGATGGCATTGAATCTGTAAATTACCTTGGGCAGTATGGCCATTTTCATGATATTGATTCTTCCTATCCGCAGCATGGAATGTTCTTCCATTTGTTTGTGTCCTCTTTTATTTCATTGATCAGTGGTTTGTAGTTCTCCTTGGGATGAGGTTTTAATAAAACAAAATGATGACAGTAAAGTGCCTGGCATGCAGCCAGGAATTTCTGCAAATGTTTAGGCTAACTCCACCCATGTCTTTATTTATTCTTTACCACTACCCTAGGAGGTAGGTGTTATTTTTATCCCCATTTTTACAAATAAGGAAACTAAGGTTCAGAGAGTTGGGGATATTTGACCAGGGTCACACAACTATTAAGTGTGGATCAAGAATTCAAACCCAAGGCTATCTAAGCCCAGATTTCATGTTCTTGGGTTTTATGCCATGATGCCTGTGGGAAGGAGAAAGTCTGAAAAGGGCTCTTTGTTCCTTGACCCAAAGGAATGCACTGACCTGTAAAGCTTTTTCTTTTGAGAATTTGAGTTTATTAAATCTTCGAATTTCTTAACATTATTTCTGTAAACTAGGAGTTTCAAACTCTTCCTGTGGCCGATTGCCATAGTCCCTACCACTCCCCTTGTCTTATACCTAGCCTGCTTCCCTCACTTACATTACCTGCTTCTCTTGTTTGACATCAGAACTATGGCCTTTGCATAAGGTTTTTAGGTTTCTTATATTTATTCTTCTTTTTTTTTTTTTTTTTTTGAGACAGGGTGTGGCTCTGCCACCTAGGCTGGAGTGCAGTAGTGTAATCAAAGCTCACTGTAGTCTCCAACTCCTGGGTTCAAGCAATTCTCCAGCTGTGGCCTCCAAAGTAGCTAGGAATACAGGTGAGCACCACCATACCTGCCTAATGTTTTTTATTTTTTGTGGCGATGGGGGTCTCACTATGTTGTCCAGGCTGGTCTCAAACTCCTGGCCTCAAACAACCCTCCTGATTAATCCTCCCAAAGCGCTGGGATTACAGGTGTGAGCCATCAGGCCTGGCCTACTTATTCTTTTAAAAAAGATGTGATTATCCACAAAAAGACTTACAGCAGCTTTATTCAAATAGCACAAAAAGGCCGGGCACAGTGGCTCATGCCTATAATCCCAGCACTTTGGGAGGCTGAGGCAGGTGGGTCATTTGAGGTTAGGAGTTTGAGATCAGCCCAGCCAACATGGTGAAACCCTGTCTCTACTATAAATACAAAAAAATTAGCCAGGCATGGTGGCAGGTGCCTGTAATCCCAGCTATTCAGGAGGCTGAGGCAGGGGAATTGCTTGAACCTGGGAGGCAGAGGCTGCCGTGGGCCAAGATCGTGCCACTGCACTCCAGCCTGGGTAACAGAGCAAGTCTCTGTTAAAAAAAAAAAAAAAAAAGAATTGGCAAAAACCCGAATGTCCACCAATGGGTGAATGAATAAACAAATTTTGGTAACATTCACACAATGGAATACCGCTCAGCAATCAAAAAGAAGAAACTATTGATGCATGTGGCAACACGGATGAATTTTAGAAAACATTTTTGCTGGCTGGGCGTGGTGGCTCATGCCTATAATCCCAGCAATTTGGGAGGCCAAGGAAAGCAGATCACTTGAGGTCAGGAGTTTGAGACCAACCTGACCAACTTGGCAAAACTTGGTCTCTACTAAAAATACGAAAATTAGCTGAGCATGGTGGTGGGCACCTGTAATCCTAGCTACTAGGGAGGCTGAGGCAGGAGAATTGCTTGAACCCGGGAGGTGGAGGTTGCACTCCAGCCTGGGTGACAGGGCGGGACTCTGTCTCAAATAAAAATAAAAATAAAAAACATTTTGCTGAATGAAAGAAGTCAAATATTGAAGAGTAACACCCTGTGATTCTATGTATATGAAATTCTACTTTATCGCAATGGAAAACAGTTTCCCTGGGGCTGGAAAGTGGGATGGATTGTGGGGATTGACTGTGACAGACACCAGGAGGTTTTGGGGGTGACAGAAATGTATTATATCTTGATTGTACTGGTGGGTACACTACAGTGTGCATAAGTGTCAAGACTCAGAACTACACACCTAAAATAATGCACTTAATTAAATGTCAATTATGCTTCAATAAAGTTGAATTTTTTAAAAAGCACTCTTGAGTCTCTTTTTCTTTTTATTCTCCCTTGCTGCCAGAGACATGCATGTGGTTCGTGTTCATGTGTTGTAAAGGTGTTCTGAAGAGACTGAGTGTCAGAGTCGCCACATCCTATAATAACCCACATCCTTCTGGGAAAGATCAGATGGGTCTGTTTGGAAGTCAGTGCTGTTTTCCATCACCAAGGGGACTGCTGCGGAATGCCGCCCCCAAAGTTCATTATCTCAGCACTTAATGTTTTGTTTTTGTTTTTTCAAAATACAGAAAAGTAATTAGAAGACATGATGAGCAATAACCTCTGTGCCAAATTACCTTGTTTTAATTTGATGATGCTTTTGAATTGTTCAAGCTCAAATAATTAATTTTATAACTGTCAGGTCTTGATAGAATTTTTTTTTTTGGAATGTGCGTGCCAAGAATCATAAGGAATGTTTTTCACAGTAAAATCTTAACCTCCTAAGACACACAATGACCACCAGACCACTGATCTGCTTCAAATATTTGAAAGATAATAAGCCACAAGTTCACAGGAGGAAATTATTGCCTGGCCAACCTCTAGCAGTTGAGGTTTGACGATTTCTTTAGTGACATTTATAAAAGCGCATTGTTTTAATCAGACCATAAGAAGACTGAATCAGGTTTCAGATTCACTCGGGGTTGATAATTGAGCTCATTCCTGAAAGGCCTCAGGAGCACTAAAGCACTGAAGTGAAACCATGGAAATTAGGGATTTGAATAGGAGAATCGTGAACTTTGGTAAAGAAAACATTCCCCATGGAGAGTGCTGATGGAACAAACTTTGCCAAAACCTATTAATAAGATTAATGAAGATAAAATTAGGGAAAACACCATGAATCTTGTTGTCTATGGGAGGAAAGAAGAGAAAGGGGGAAAAAATCAGGCTCATTTACACCCTTGACTATGTCATCATGAGCCCACAAGGAGGGGCCCGACACCATCTTCCTTTTTGCAGAGAGAATGCAATGTCCAGTTCTTTCTTCTGCTGCTGCTAGGATTTGCCTTTGGCATAGTTGGCCTGTCTAAATGAAACCGGAACAAAGTTCCAGGCCATCTTTTACAAATGTTTGTTCTCCACAAGGGCAGGGGAACTTCCTAAGTGGGTAAGCTGGCTGAAGACCTGAGCCGAGCTTAGAAAAGAGGAGCCAGGCCTGTCCTTGAACTCGCAGAGCTGAGCAGAGCAGCACACACATGGTCCACCCTGGCTTGGAGCCCCGAAGTGGAGCCCAGCCCAAAACTTCTCTGGAAAGGTTATGGTGCATTCGAAGCACAGGCCTCACATCTACCTCTAAGTCTTGGCCATTATTGGTAAAGGCAAGTAGGGGGCAAGCCTTTTTAAATCATGTTTTTACTGATACAACCTTAGAGGATGGCCTCACAACCCCTAGACACTGCTATTAACTGAAAGAGTGGCCAAGTTTTAATCTCACCTAGAAGACAGCTGACAACCACCAGGGCATCTCATGAAAAATGGATCTGTTAAGCCACATGCAATCCATTACACTTTCAGACTATTCATCTATTCTATTTCTTTCTTTTCTTTTTTTTTTTTTTGCTGAGACGGAGTTTTGCTCTGTCACCCAGGCTGGAGTGCAGTGGCGCAATCTCAGCTCACTGCAACCTCCGCCTCCCGGGTTCAAGCGATTCTCATGCCTCAGCCTCCCTAGTAGCTGGGATTACAGGCACGCAGCCACCACGCTCGGCTAATTTTTGGATTTTTAGTAGATATGGGGTTCCGCCATGTTGGCCAGGCTGTTCTCGAACTCCTGACCTCAAGTGATCCATCCACCTTGGCCTCCCAAAGTTCTGGGGTTACAGGTGTGAGCCACTGCACCCGGCCTACTGGCCTTTTTCTATTTTTTTTTATGCATATAAGGCATATTTGCACCATTGGGCCTTTGCACATGCTGTTCCCTCTGCAGACAATTCCTTTGCATTGGGTCTTCAAATGTCACCCCCTCAACCACCCCATGGCTTTGAGGCCACATACAAATGGAGGGAAAGGATAAGTTCATATTTTGGTATTGGTTCCATGCCCAAAATTTGATTATTCCTAAGGATGGATAAGTTGATGTTAGATAAGGAAAAAAACAGTCCTACTTGTAATAGTCTATCCCATTGCTAGATCATTTTATTCTAATATGGGATTCAGAAATCTTAGGCATATTACTTCAAAAATCATAAGATCATTATTATCTACAGAGGTGATAAAAATCACAGAGTTGAATAGATGTCTTTTATAGAGTCAGTGAGAATTGACTGAGAAGTCTCTGCTCTTTTATTCAGAGCCTTTATCTAAATAGATCGCTATCATGGTTTCTAGCAGTGGATGCCTGCGTGACCAACCAAGACCTCTTGAACCAATGGACTGAACTTTTGTCAGTTTTCACATCAGGGGTAAGAATGGCTTAATGTTAAAAGCACCTCAGCAAGATGCTTTAATACTCTTTTCCTTGATTTATATTTTTAATGTTCTCACTTCTTTAAGAACTTGCGAATATTTGGCTTTGATAACTCTGCACTGCCAAACCTACCAATTTCTTGGTGGGCCAAGGATGACCATGTTTTACTGATTCTATGTTTTCAATCATTAAAGTATTCTGTCGCTGACCACATTCTGTTTTCTGTTTTTTTCTAGTCATCTTAACTAATTCAGAAAAAGCTAAGTTTAAGTGGCCTTTGCTGGCTGGCTGGTCCTGGAGCCACTTCCCTGGCTCCTCCAAATCATCAATCCTGTCCTTTGCTGTGTCACCAAGCACAACTAAGCAGCCTCTGGGGGATGTGGACAAGTCTCCTTAGACAGGGTGGCCTATCCCAGGTTGGATCCAACCCAGAAATGTCCAGTAGAGGCTCAGCCAAGTTGAGGATGGAGCAGAAGCAATGTTAGACCGGGTGGTCTGAGGGTGTGACATTTGAAGACCCAAAGCAAAGTAATTATCTGCAGAGGGAACAGCATGTGCAAAGGCCTTACAGTGCAAATATGCCTCATATACAAAAATAAAAAATTGAAAAAGGCCAGTGGGCTGTGCACAGTGGCTCACGTCCTATAACTTCAGCACTTTGGGAGGCTGAGGCAGCGGATCATTTGAGATCAGGAGCTGGAGACCAGTCTGGCCAATGTGGCAAAACCCTGTCTCTACTAAAAATACAAAAGATTAGCTAGGTGTGGTGGCATGCACCTGTAATCTCAGCTACTCGGGAGGTTGAGGCAGGAAAATTACTTGAACCCGGGAGACAGAGGTTGCAGTGAGCTGAGATTGCACCACTGCACTCCAGCCTGGGCAACAGAGTGAGACTCCATCAAAAAAAGAAAGAAAGAAGGAAAGAAAGAAGGAAAGAAGGGAAGGAAGGAAGGAAGGAAGGAAGGAAGGAAGGAAGGAAGGAAGGAAGGAAGGAGCCAGTGAGACTGGTATATGGTGAGTAGAGGTCACATGGATGAATCAATCTAAATACATTCTAATACTCTTAATAATAATAATACAGTCTTGATACAGATGACAGCACCGGCAATAACAGAACTGAAAATTTTGCACTCAGGTTGGGACTCCCCAAGACAGTGACTGGGTCAAAATCCTATTTCTGGACTTCCTGGATTGACTAATCTTTAACTGGTGGTTGTTAAAACAAGGTTTCTCTATCATGGCCTCACTTCTGCGTAGTCCCGTCGCATTCTAATACTTGCCTCCCTTTTTCCACCCTGGCCACTTCGGGCTTCCAGCATCCCTACAACGTTCACAGTTCCAGAACCACTCAGGACATCTTGTATCTCTCTCTTGACCTGCCAGAGCTTCTTATGGCCTAGCAAGTCATTTTCCTGATTATTACCTCTCCTTATCCCTAATATCTAGTAGTTTCTACCCATTGTTCATTTTCCACTTCTTTGGTTTTTTCCCCCTAGCTCCACACCTCTGGAGCGACATAAATACTCTACCTGGCCCAGCCTGCTTCCAGATATGCTGCTCTACACCTGATGGAGAGCTCGTGCCTAGAGCTCACTACCCAACCCTTAGGACCAGAAAGATGGCAAGACACTTAGGGAACCAGTAATGGCTTATAAGCATGTCAGAATCAGGATAAAGAATTTGGGCTACAAGGCCGGGCGCGGTGACTCACGCCTGTAATCCCAGCACTTTGGGAGTCCGAGGTGGGCGGATCACAAGGTCAGGAGACCGAGACCATCCTGGCTAACACTGTGAAACCCCGTCTCTACTAAAAATACAAAAAAATTAGCCGGGCTTGGTGGCAGGCGCCTGTAGTCCCAGCTACTTGGGAGGCTGAGGCAGGAGAATGGCGTGAACCCGGGAGGCGGAGCTTACACTGAGCCGAGATCGCGCCACTGCACTCCAGCCTGGGCGACAGAGCGAGACTCCATCTCAAAAAAAAAAAAAAAAAAAGAATTTGGGCTGCAATATCCAAATAGATTCTCAGAAACAACCTGCACAATATTTGCTGACAAGTGAATACCAGCCACCTCTACAGCAAAACTTTATTCAGCTCAATCAACTTCTCTAAACTCAGCACCTCCTTATTTTCTGAACCACTCAATTCAATATTGTGTTATTTATAAAGTTTTGCATTTTTTGTCTGTGAATATTTTCATATTAGTCCTGAAAAGATTTAAAGTTCTCGAAGAGCAAGAATGGTGTGCTGCATTTTATTTGTAAATTCTGTAAGTTTCACAAGAGTGTTGCACACATATACAGTTAGTGCCTGACAAACACTGGCTGATGGATATTTCATTGTTTTAATTCAGCTTTAAGTTTTTGGCAGTAGAGCAGAGTTTATGCAAAGTGTAAGCCTCATTGGTAGATTCGTGTCACTGGAGCTAAATGCTACCTCTAAAGTGGTGGCTAAAGTTAGAAAGATAGGAGGCAGGGCAAGACAGCACTCCCACATCCCTGGAAGCCCGCAGTTTCACAATTCTGGACAAAAGGGCAGCCCTTCCTGCTTTATGTGATGATTAGATTGTTCATTCATTTGTTAATTCAGTGAGTTATTTTTGAGTCATGAGCATGCACTATGTATAAGGCAATGTACACATTATGGAGGATATACAAAAAAATTCCAAACCATGATGTCTGTGTGCCCTAGCTCAGCCTGAACTATGATCAGATAAAATTATGATCAGCTCTTCCCCATGAAGAAACTTGGGAACAGGATCTGCAAACAATGGGCATCCCACGTCAGTGTCAGGGCTGTTGTCCGGACCCCTGCCTCCACACTGGAACAGGTTGTCCTGGTGGAAGGAGAAACCATGGACCAGGACCTTTGAATCAGGACACTTCAGAACTTTCCTCTTCTTTTGCAGCAGGATGTCAAAAGCATTCTAGTAAACCACAAGAAATCGGAAGGAGTGAGAAAGAAAGATTTTAAGCTACTCCATGTACACCGACTTTATCTTAAATTGTATTTGGGAATTAACCAATGATCACAAATCAAATGAAAATAAAAAGAACTTAAAAATCTGTTTCACTACTTCATGGGTGCCAATAGATCAAAGGCAGTGGTAACTACACTCAGCATGCGTGCTAAATAGAGTTTCATTTTATTTTATTATTTTTATTTTTTTGAGACAGAGTATCGCTCTGTCACCCAGGCTGGAGTGCAGTGGCGTGATCTCAGCTCACTGAAACCTCCACCCACCAGGTTCAAGCAATTCGCCTGCCTCAGCCTCTCCAGTAGCTAGGATTTACAGGTGCATGCTATTACATCTGGCTAAATTTTTTTTGTTTTTTCTTGTATTTTTAGTAGACATGGGGTTTCACCATGTTGGCCAGGCTGGTCTTGAACTCCTGGCCTCCAGTGATCTGCCCGCTTCGGCCTCTCAAAGTGCTGGGATTACAGGAGTGAGCCACCTAGAGTTTTCATTCATGAGTCATTCATTCATTTGTTGGTTCCTTTGCTCTTTCTTTCACATATTCATTTATATAACAAGTGTTTATTGAGTGCATACTCAGTGCCAGGTACTATAGTAGGACCTGAGAGTGATATAAAGACGAATAAGATTATTAATACCCCTGGCCTTAAAGCACTTGGAGGAAAGAAGAGGTGATAAAATGTGCATATAAAAAATAGGGATTTAAAATGTGATAAGTTAAAGAGAATTAAAGTGCTACAGGGACAAAGATCTGGCTAAAAAGAAGGGCTTCCCACTTTGGGAGTCTGCGGCGGGTAGATTGCCTGAGGTCAGGAGTTCGAGACCAGCCTGACCAACATGACGAAACCCCGTCTCTACTAAAAATGCAAAAATTAGCTGAGTGTGGCGGGCGCCTGTAATTCCAACTACTCCGGAGGCTGAGGCAGGAGAATCGCTTGAACTTGGGGGACAGAGGTTGCAGTGAGCCAAGATCACGCCACTTCACTCCACCCTGGGCATAAGAGTGAAACCCCCTCTTGGGAAAAAAAAAAAAGAAGGACTTCATAGAGGAGTTAACTGGGACCTTGGAGAAAGGGTAGGAAACAGTTATGTGGAAGTGGGAATGGGGCTGAGGAATGCTTACTTGGATGTGGAAAAGTGAATAGTTCCATTTGACAGGAGCAGAATGGGTATTAAAAAGCAGAGATTCATGAATACCCAACTATGGAAGTTTGTGTTACATTCATAGACAAGATGACTATATAATATATTATCCAGATCATGACACATTTGAAAGTGAAAATGGTCATAAAAATAATTAAAATTATATATATATAAATTTATTGACTAAAACATTTTTATTATATTGGTAAATCTTTTTAAAGATCTATTTGAAAACTTTTCAAAAAGGAAATTATTTTAAAATACTAAAACTTATCTGTCTACATCTAGATATGTAGACAGATAGTGGGGGACATTCAAGCAAAATTTTTTAAACTTTTAATATGTTGATCATCAAAACATTAACAAATAACATAATCAGAACAATCATCCTTGGTGAATATCACATGCTTGAATCAATTCCTTGAGTGGATTTGTTTTTAATACCACAGCACTAGTATTTTTCTGACAAAGGTATTATTTTTAAATTTTTCAGAAAATTGTTCTTCAAAGTTGCATTTTAAAGTTAGTTTGAAACTTTTGAACTTTTAATTGATTACTTTTTGTAGATTATAATGTTTTTTAAAAAACATGCTTTCTCGGCTGGGCACAGTGGTTCACGCCTGTAATCCCAGCACTTTGGGAGGCCAAGGCAGGCGGATCACAAGGTCAAGAGATCAAGACCACCCTGGCCAACATGGTGAAACCACATCTCTACTAAAAATACAAAAATTAGCTGTGTATGGTGGCACACGCCTGTAGTCCCAGCTACTCGGGAGGCTGAGGCAGGAGAATCAGTTGAACCCAGGAGGCAGAGGTTGCCGTGAGCCGAGATCATGCCACTGCACTCCAGTCTGGCAACAGAGTGAGACTCCATCTCAAAAAAACAAAACAAACAAACAAATAAAAAAAAACATGCTTTCTCTACAGGTCCTGAGGTGCCTGTTAAAGCACAGAATAAAGTATACTAAATGGAAGATATTATCAGTTATATTTTTTAAAGTAAATCTTGTGAATATTTTAACCCTATTTTATAAAATTAGCAATTTATAAAATGCCTTTTCAATCAACTTCAATGAGGTGCAGTTTACCTATAATAAAAGAACTATTTTAAGTATACAGTTTGATAAATTTTGACATATGCACCCACCCATGACACTACCAACACAATTAAGCTATGGAGTATATTACAAATAATTTTTTTTTTTTTGGATGGAGTCTTGCTCTGTTGCCCCGGCTGGAGTGCAGTGACGTGATCTCAGCTTACTGCAACCTCTGCTTCCCAGATTCAAGTAATTCTCCTGCCTTAGCCACCTGAGTAGCTGGGACTACAGGCATGCACCACCACGCCCGGCTAATTTTTGTATTTTTAGTAGAGAGGGGATTTCACCATGTTGTCCAGGCTGCTCTCGAACTCCTGACCTCAGGTGATCCACCCGCCTCGGCCTCCCAAAGTGCTAGGATTACAGACATGAGCCACCAAGCCCAGCCATATTACAAATAATTCTTTTGAAAAGTCATTTCCATAATTAGTTTCACCACCGCATGTCCCCCTCTCAGAACCATTATTTCCTTTCCCTTACTGTAAATAAGTTTTGCCTATTCTGGAACTTCATATAAATGGAATTATACACAATATAGTCTTTTGGATCTGGCTCCTTTCACTCAACATAATTTTTGTTTTTGTTTTTGTTTTTGTTTTTTTGAGACGGAGTCTCGCTCTATCACCCAGGCTGGAGTGTAGTGGCACGATCTCAGCTCACTGCAACCTCTGCCTCCCAGGTTCAAGCGATTCTCCTGCCTCAGTCTCCCGAGTAGCTGGGACTAGAGGTACCCGCCACCACACTCAGCTAATTTTTGTATTTTCAGTAGAGACGGGGTTTCACCATATTGGCCAGGCTGGTCTCGAACTTCTGACCTTGTGATACACCCACTTCGGCCTCCCAAAGCGCTAGGATTACAGGCATGAGCCACTGCGCCCAGCCAACGTAATGTTTTTATTTTTCTCTGTCCCCCAGGCTGAAGTGCAGTGGTCTGATCATGGCTCACTGCAGCCTAACCTCCTGGGCTCAAACGATTCTCCCACCTCAGGCTCCCAAGTAGCTGGGACTACAGACATAAGCCACCGTGCCTGACTAATTTTTGTTTTATTATTATTATTATTATTATTATTATTATTATTTTTTTTTTTTTTTTTTTTTTTTTTAGAGAGACTGGATTTAGCCATGTTGCCCAGGCTGGTCTCGAACTTCTGGTCTCAAGTGATCTGCCTGCCTTAGCCTCCCAAAGTGCTAGAATTACAGGTGTGACAACATAATGTATTGAGATTCTTTCATGTAGTTGCATACTTCAGTAGTTCGTTCTTTTTTATTGCTGAGTTGTATGGATAGCGCACAATTTCTTTATCTATTCACTCGTTTTCCAATTTTGAACAATTATAAATAAAGCTGCTATGATTATGGTTAATAAATACCTAGGAGCAGAACTGCTGTGTCATAAAAAAAAAAGAATGTTTAATTTTGTAAGAAACAGCCAGACTATCTTCCAAAGCAGCTATACATTTCAACACTCCCACCATCAGTGCACAGGTGGAGTGAAGAGAATTCCAATTACTTCACCTGCACTCACACTTGGTACTGTGAGTCTTTCTATTTTAGCCCTTTTAACAAATGAGTAATGCCATATCATTGTGGTTTTAATTTGCTTTTCTTTGATGCTAATGATGTTGAGTATTTTTTCATATGCCTGTTGGCCATTCATATATCTTCTTTAATGAGGTTCCTATTCAAATCTTTTGCCTTGTTTGTTTGTTTGTTTGTTTGTTTGTTTGTTTGAGACGGGGTCTACTCTCATTCCCCAGGAGTGCAGTGGCACAATCACAGCTCACTGCAGCCTCGGCTTTCTGGGCTCAAGTGATCCCCTAACCTCAGCCTCCCAAGTAACCAGGACTAAAGTCACGTACCACCATGCCTGGCTAATTTTTGTATTTTTAGTAGAGACAGGGTTTCGTCATGTTGCCCAGGCTGATTTTGAACTCTTGGGCTCAAGTGATCCACCTGCCTTGGCCTCCCAAAGCGCAGAGATTACAGGGGTGAGCCACCACACCTGGCCATGTTTGTCCATTTTAAATTGTTTTCTTGTCTTATAATTGAGTTCTAAAGGCCCATTATGTATTTTAGATACAAGTCCCTTTTCAGGTATATGTATTATAAATATTGTGTGTTAGTCAGTGGTTTATCTTTTCTTATCTATCTATTTATTTATTTATTTATGTAGACAGAGTCTGACTCCATCACCCAGGCTGGAGCGCAGTGGCACAATCATAGCTCACTGTCATCTCAAACTCCTGGGCTCAGCGATCTTCCCACCTCACCGTCCCAAGTAGCTAGGACTCCAGGCATATGTCACCACACCTGGCTAATTTTTTTTCTAGAGATGCGATCTTGCTGTGTTGCCCAGGCTGGTCTTGAACTGGTGGCCTCAAGCAATCCTCTCACTTCAGCCTCCAAAGTATTGGGTTTACAGGCGTGAGCCACTGTGCCTGGCAAGTTCCTTAATTTAACACAAGTTTTGTTTCTACCTCAATACTGTGCTCCACCAAAATTCTTATTTGTATTATCGCCAGAAACATAAATAATTTTATCTTCAATGATGGATTTTTAAACTTAATTTTAAAAACATTTAGAATAATGGCAGATGTTTCACCTTTGACCAAATGAACTTTCAAATATTTTACTGATTTCATGAATTGAATTAAAAAGTGGAACCACCATTGAAATGAATTTAACTGGGTTTCTATTTGAAATATCTGATTCATGCTTGAACCCGGGAGGCGGAGGTTGCAGTGAGCTGAGATCGTGCCACTGCACTCCAGCCTGGGCCACAGAGCAAGACTCTGTCTCAAAAAAAAAAAAAAAAAAAGAAAGAAAGAAAGAAAGAAAATAAAAGAGAAATATCTGATTCAGTCCCTAACATCAGGTATCATCACTTGACTGTAAAGTTTTTATTCATCTAATGGAGCCAACACATTAACAGATTTTGCTGTATAGTTCTTACACATGCCCAAAAAAAAAAAAAAAATATATATATATATATATATATATATATATATATACCAGGTACCTGTTGTGCACTACTTCAGTTTTTTCAGCCTCATCAGTTCTGCTCAGTCATCACATCGGAGCATCTAAACCGTCTTTCACCTCAGCTCTGCACCTTTGGTTTCGGTTTCCTACTTTCTTTCCCCAAGCTTCTCTGTGAACATCTCGGCAGAATGTTTGGCATGCACGCACAGCTTGGAAGTGAGAGGAGGTAATGGTCCCTGGAAGGAACTTTTAACCAACAAGGAACAGGGGCCAGTTGTTGTTTTTTTTTTTTTTTTTTTAGATGGAGTCTCGCTCTGTCGCCCGGGCTGGAGTGCAGTGGCGCTATCTCGGCTCACCGCAAGCTCCGCGTCCCGGGTTCACACCATTCTCCTGCCTCAGCCTCCCGAGTAGCTGGGACTGCAGGCGCCCGCCACCACTCCCGGCTAATTTTTTTGTATTTTTTAGTAGAAACGGGGTTTCACCTCATTAGCCAGGATGGTCTCGATTTCCTGACCTCGTGATCTGCCCGCCTTGGCCTCACAAAGTGCTGGGATTACAGGCGTGAGCCACCATGCCTGGCCAGGGGTCAGTTGTTAAATGTTACCGCTTTCTTCCTCTGAAGGGCTGCCTGGAGATGTGTTGAATGTGGCTCTTCAGGCAGTCCCATGAGATTGAATAATGAGTCACGTGTAGTGGTAACACTTCTTCATGTTGACGCTCCTTCTTTTCCTCCTTTGCTCTTCCTGTCTCTCATTCCTGCTGGCAAACCACATTCACCAGTGAAATATCTGAGAGTAAGTATTTATCTTAGGTGCCACTTTCTGGGGAACCCAGGCCAAGATAGCTCAGATCAAAAGAAGCAAAATTCGTTTAACAAAATGAAAAGTTATGCTTTAAAGCTGTGACTCCTCTCCGCAACCTTTGGGCATCAGGGACCCATTCTGTGGAAGACAATTTTTCCATGGATGGGGGTCGGGGGATGGTTTCTGAATGATTCAACTGCATTCCATTTATTGTGCACTTTATTTCTACTATTATTACATTGTAATACATAATGAAATAATTGTATAATTCACTGTAATGTAGAATCAGTGGGACCCCTGAGCTTGTTTTCCTGCAACTAGACAGTCTCATCTGGGGGTGATGGGAGGCAGTGACAGATCATCAGGCATTAGATTCTTTTTTTTTTTTTTTTTTTTTGAGACAGAGTTTTGCTCTTGTTGCCCAGGCTGGAGTGTGGAATGATCTCGGCTCACTGCAACCTCCACCTCCTGGGTTCAAGTGATTCTCCTGCCTCAGCCTCCCGAGTAGCTGGGACTGCAGACATGCACCACCACACCCAGCTAATTTTTTGTATTTTTAGTGGAAATAGGGTTTCTCCATGTTGGTCAGGCTGGTCTCAAACTCCTGACCTCAGGTGATCTGCCTGCCTCGGCCTCCCAAAGTTCTAGGATTACAGGCGTGAGCCACAGCACCCGACCTAGATTCTTATAAGGAGCATACAACCTAGATCCCTGGCATGCACAGTACACAATAGGGTTTGCACTCCTGTGAGAATCTAATGCTGCCACTGATCTGACAGGAAGTGGAGCTCAGGCGGTAATGCGAGTGATGGGGAGCAGCTGTAAACATAGATGAAGCTTCACTTGCTCAAGCACTGCTCACCTCCTGCTATGCAGCCTGGTTCCTAACAGGCCATGGACCTGTACCGGTCCATCAGGTACTGGTCCATGGGGACCCCTCCTTTGAAGAGTGACACATAAATACAACTTCCACAATTGCCTGTGTTATCGTCTTAAAATAATCACTAACTTTTCTTCAGCAGAGTTGTGTCTTCTGGTTTTCATTAGTCGATGATATCACTACGGACTCGATAATAGTAAATGTTCACAGACATTATGTGCAAGTTACAAGTTCATCAACTTTCTTGAAATACAGAAACTCAGTATTTAATTTTTCATGAAACCTTCCTTCCTTTCCTTCCTTCCTCTCCTCCTTCCTTTCTTTCTTCTCACTGTTACTGTAGTGAATACTGTGGTACACTGCCCAGATCCCCGCTGCAGGACCGTGGCAGCTGCTGAGAGTGATGGCTGTTGGCAGCTCACAGTTGATTCCATCTGTAGGAATTGCCCTGGGCCAAAACAAGCTGCTTTATCTAAATATGCTCCCTCCCTGGGGGCAGCCTCCATCCCATAATGGGTCAATGGTAGGGGTGGGAGGTGGTGATAAAATATAAAGGCCTCGCTCACGTGCCTCATTTCAGGACAACCCTGAAAGGCCATCCCAGCTCCGCGACTCCCATAGGATCAACGGAGGTCTCTGCAGCACCAGCACTGCAGGTCAATTTCTCCCTCTGCCCAATCTGGCTACCCTCACCCCCTCACAGGTGTTGTTCCCAAGAGTAATCCCCAGTAAACTTCCTGCAGGCAAACCTCCATTTCAGAATCTGCTTCTCAGAAACCCAATCTAAGCAACTGCTGAAAAGGTTTATTGCAACATTTTATTTTTATTTATTTATTTTTTGAGACGGAGTCTGGCTCTGTCACCCAGGCTGGAGTGCAGTGGTGTGATCTCGGCTCACTGCAACCTCTGCCTCCCGGGTTCCAGTGATTCTTGTGCCTCAGCCTCCCAAGTAGCTGGGATTAGAGGCATGCACCACCACACCCAGCTAATTTTTGTGTTTTTAGTAGAGACACGGTTTCACCACGTTGGCCAGGCTGGTCTCGAACTCCTGACCAATGGTGATCCACCCGTCTCAGCCTCCCAAAATGCTGGGATTACAAGTGTGAGCCACCAAGCCCAGCTAATTTTTGTATTTTTAGTAGAGACAAGGTTTTGCCATGATGGCCAGGCTGGTCTCAAACTCCTGGCCTCAAGTGATTGCCTGCCTCGGCCTCCCAAAGTGCTGGGATTACAGGGATGAGCCACTGCGCCCAGCCAGTTGCCCACTTTTTAACAGGATTGTAAAACAACCATTTTAGATGAGATTTAATTAAACAGTTAAATGTGCTGGGTTGAATTCTATTGTTGTTCAAAAAATAGTAAATACTTCAAAGTGCCAAAAAATCAAGCAGAGTTTGTTTTAACATAGGTTCTGGGCCTCTGTACTAAGAATTTGAATTGGTTGTTTAAAATCAAAGCCCTCTGTAGCAACTGTAGAAATATCTAACTTACACTCTTAGAAGACTAGGAAATAATGTCATTCCCCAGTCTCAAATTTAGAAAGGTATCAACTAAGTCTTTTAACTTAATTCTAGATACAGATTTCCATGTTTGTGTAAGAACTTTACACACTTTTATTTATTTATTTATTTGAGACAGAGTCTCGCACTGTCACCTGGGCTGGAGTGCAATTGTGTGATCTCGGTTCACTGCAGCCTCCACCTGCTGGGTTCCAACGATTCTCCTGCCTCAGCCTCCTGAGTAGCTGGGATTACAGGTGCCTGCAACCATGCCCAGCTAATTTTTTGTCTTTTTGGTAGAGACTGTGTTTCACTGTTTTGGCCAGGCTGGTCTCGAACTACTGACCTTGTGATCTGCCCACCTCAGCCTCCCAAAGTGACACTTTTATCTTTATAGCAATCCCATAGTATTATGAGAATTACTATTATTAGTTTTGTGAGAATTACTACTATTAGTTTTCTATTTGGAAGATTTAGAAACAGTGACAAATTTTGGAATAGACATAGTTTACTGGAAACTTTTCAAGCAACCATTCAGACATCTGTTTGGGGTTTTTCTACTCATTATTCATTTACTCAGCAAGCATTTGTTGAGCACCTATTCATTATAACTATTCTGATTATTCGAAGTTGGTTGTCATGCAATCAATATAGTTTAATCACATCAACATAGGATCAGTGCAATTCTATTGTTGCATCTCATTCTTTTACCAGTCTTAACTGAATCGGATAAACCATATAATAATAAAAACTTAAGAAATTCGTTTTTAGATTAAATGAACTCACTCTGATGTTCAATTTCCAGACAATAATTGCCCTTCAGAAATGCCAGCAGGACACAAGAAGCTATAAAGTCAGAGAAATGTGAATATTAACTGAACAGCCAGGTCAGTTATGATGTCATTAAATAAAACACACACTCACATAACCAAAGCCAAATAGACCATAAAACAGCTGATTTCTTTTCACATAGAAAGACCAAATGCATCTACTTTAAGAGTGACCACTGGTTTTACCAATTAGGTTGTATAGGGTAATTTCCATAAATTAAATGAATATAATCTGAAGCTCCAAATATTTGGTAAAAATATATTGAAAGCATGTGGCAATATAAAATAATTTTAGACCAAAAAAAGCATTAACAAAGGAGTATTGAAATAGAAAAATTGATATTCCCAACCCTTTCTGAATCTGATGGTTGAATAGGATACATCATAACATCATAATCAAGAGAATAACAAATATAATTAATAATCATTTGATAAATTTTGGCCAAACTTTGGGCTTACCTCCCAAACTAAGAAGTCAAATTATTCCAACAGCTGAAGCACAAGTCCTTCTACGGAATTAAAATGGATATAATCTAGTTGTTAGCCAATAGAACAGTTTTTTAAAAATTTTGATGCTAGATAATTATGTTATTTGTAACCCTTAGTTTGGAAAGAGTTTAAAGTATTAAAAGACTTTGCCCAAATAAAACTTCTTTTCTTCAATTTGTAAGTGAAGTTTTTTGATGCTTACATACAAAAGAAAAATTAGAATAGAAATATTGCAGAAATTCTGTTTCATTTTAGTAATAAGTAATAGTCATCCATGGATCTATAAATTGTTATAAATGTCTATCTGGGTCAGGCATGGTGGCTCATGCCTGTAATCCCAGCACTTTGGGAGGCCGAGGCAGGCAGGTCACCTGAGGTCAGGAGTTTCAGACCAGCCTGGCCAACATGGCGAAGCCCCATCTCTACTAAAAAAAATTCAAAAATTAGCTGGCCATGACCATGTAATTGTAATGAAGCCTTTATCGAGAAGAAAAATGTTAACTCATAGAGGTTTATGATTATAGGAATTTTAAAAATGTTTCATTTCCATTTACCTATTTCTATGGTAGATAAATATGAAGGAATGATCAATGAAAGAATTTTGAGGTTAAAATAATTTACATATGATGAAATTCTTTGAGGGGAAGCAGAACGAAATAAAAGTTCAAAGGCCAGGTGCAGTGGCTCACGCCTGTAATCCCAGCACTTTAGGAGGCCAAGGGGGGGGTGGATCACTTGAGGTCAGGAGTTCAAGACCAGCCTGGCCAACATGGTGAAACCCTGTCTCTACTGAAAATACAAAAATTAGCCCGGCATTGTAGCACACGTCCGTAGTCCCAGCTACTTGGGAGGCTGAGGCGCAAGAATCACTTGAACCCGGGAGGCAGAGGTTGCAGTGAGCTTAGATCACAACACTGCACTCCAGCCTGGGCAAGAGAGCAAGACTGGGTCTCAAAAAAAAAAAATATCCATTGGATATACTTATGAGAATAACAGTTTATTTTTAAATGCCAATGTTTACAATAAGTCAGAAATTACGTTCTTTGCAACTATCTAAATGTATGGTAACACTTTCTGATGATCAATCAACATAAATTGTGCAAGGGGTGCGTTGCTTTTCAAAATAAATTCGGTAGATATGAGAGCAAAAGTATTGGAAGATCCCTGCTGTGGGACATAATATCCACCCTGAGTGTGAAAAGGTGAGGGAAGGCTAGCCAGGGAAAAGAGGCTGGGGGCTGGGTGGCAGTCCCTGTAGGGCATGAGCCAAGGCTGGGAGACTGAGGAGAGAGACTGCTGACACGTTTAAGGGAACAGGATTTTAGTACTGCTTGGGGAGGCCTCAAACAGGTGGCTGATGCCTTGGGAGTAGGCAGATCATCTGAGTGAAACGTTAGAATAAGCAAAGCAGCAGTCAAAGAACAGAGCCTAGAGCCACGGGTGGACAGGAACCCCTGAGAACACTAAGTTATAGTTCAAGGGGTGGGAAGAGAATGGGGAGGGATATCCAAGAAGCGCTGAATCTGCCAATTCAGAACCCCACATAAACAGAGGACTGAGCTAGTAAGTGACAGGATCAGGACCGACCCAAGCTTTCCTAATTTTTCCTAATCTTGTGTTCGTTCCATTTAGTATGCTACTTCTAGTATTTGACTTATGTGTTGAAGTATAACATGCTATTTCTTCCATATCATATGTAATTTTTTTCCAGTCTTTCCATTATGGTCAAATCTACCTCTTTGGAAGTAAAGAGAGATCTATACTGCATAGTCTCAAATGGGAAGAGAAATTTCTGTTGGATCACAGAGTCCTTGCCTTCCAATTAGAAGATAGAGAAATCACACTAGCTAAACAGCATGGCTACTCAGGGCCAACAGCAGCCCCAAAATATACAGCCTTTTTGGGAGCACCGGTCTGAATCTTGGCAGGGTCAACATGAGAGCTTAACCTTTCAAGACAGATAAATTGGGTCCTTGGAATGCCCCTGTTTAGTGGCTCATAGGAGTCTTTCGGATGAGTCCCTTGCTAAGTAAAGCTCAGTCTGTTTTGTGTCAGCTCTACACAGTCTCAAGATAATCTCAGACTGATTTTCATGAAGCCAAAGCCAGCAATAGGAAATTCAGTCTATCAACTCTTTATTTGTCATGACAGAAATTGCTATACTGTTCGCTGCAACACAACTTATCATAGTGAAGTTTGGAAACTACCTACGCATCCAAAAATTAAGAAATGTTTGAATAAATTATGATCCATTTATAGGAAGAAATATCATGCAGCCAGTGAATATTAGACTTTCTGAGAATCCCAGAATCTTACATGGCTAATTTTTAAAATGACTAAACTTATGTATATGTACATATATATTTTAAACAAGGTCTTGCTCTGTTGCCCAGGCTGGAGTGCAGTGGTGCAATCATGGCTCACTGTGGCCTCAGCCTCCTGGGCTCAACTGATTCTCCTGCCTCAGCCTCCCAAGTAACTGGGACTACAGGCACTTGCCACCACACATGGCTAATTTTTGTATTTTTGTAGAGATGGGATCTCCCTATGTTGCCCAGTCAGGTCTTGAACTCCTAGCCTCAAGTGATCCTTCTGCCTCAGCTTCTTAAAGTCCTGGGATTATAGGCATAAGTCACCCTGTTCAGCCCCTGAACTTACATTTTTGACACATATTGCCAACAGTATTTACACAGCATTGGTGAGTACCTTTATAACATCTCCATTTACCAAACATGGTATTAATTTGGCACATCCTGTAGCCTCTTAACCATGACTACGACAGCAAACGTCTAGGTTCCAATGGATTCATGGAATGGGAGGGGTGTAGTTAACTCTGGAAGTGGGGTTTTAATCCTTTACAGTATACTGAAAGATGTGAAACTCTTGAAAAGTTAAAAGTGCCATATAAATGTGTTATCTCTGTTAAATGCTTTTTCTAATCAAATAATTTTTTTTGGCCAAGTAAATACTTTTTCTAGCCTAATGCTTTTTCAGTGTACAATTCTGACATTGTAACAATAGTACAAGTGAAGTCAGAGAGGCTATAATGAAAAAGACTGTAATGAGTTTCATGGAGGATGTGGAGAAATTGGAACCCTCATACATTGCTTGTAGGAATGTGAGATGGTGCAACTGTTTTGGAAAACAGTTTGGCAGTTCCTCAAAATGTTAAATATACAGTTACTGTACGACTTGGAAATTCTACTCCTCAGCATATACCTAAGAGAAATTAAAATGTATATCCATAGAAAACCTTGCATATAAATGTTCACAGCAGCATTATTCATGATAGCCAAAAAGTGAAAACAACCTAAATTTCCATCAACTGATGAATGAACAAACAAAATATGGTCTATCCATACAGTGAAATATTATTTGGCCATAAAAAGGAATGAAATACCAATGCATGCTACCATGGATGAACCTTGAAAATATTATGTTAAATGAAAACATCCAGTCAAAAAAGACAACATGACCGGGCGCGGTGGCTCACGCCTGTAATCCCAGCACTTTGGGAGGCTGAGGCGGGCGGATCACAAGGTCAGGAGATGGAGACCATCCTGGCTAACATGGTGAAACCCTGTCTCTACTAAAAATACAAAAAATTAGCCGGGCGTGGTGGCGCATGCCTGTAGTCCCAGCTACTCGAGAGGCTGAGGCAGGAAAATGGCGTGAAACCGGGAGGCGGAGCTTGCAGTGAGCCGAGATTGCGCCACTGCACTCCAGCCTGGGTAACAGAGCAAGACTACGTCTCAAAAAAAAAAAAGACAACATACTGTATGATTCCATTTCTGTGAAACATCAAGAATAGTGAATTTATAAAGACAAAAGGTAGATTAGTGATGTGTTAGTCTGTTTTTCTTGTTATAAAGGAATACCTGAGGCTGGGTGTGGTGGCTCACGCCTGTAATCCCAGCACTTTGGGAGGTGGAGGCGGTGGATTACTTGAGCCCAGGAATTCAATACCAGCCTGACCAACATACTGAAACCCCGTCTCTACTAAAAATGCAAAAATTAGCTGGGCGTGGTGGTGGGCCCCTGTAATCCCATCTACTCGGGAGGCTGAGGCAGGAGAATTGCTGGAACCAGGGGGCAGACGTTGCAGTGAACTGAGATTGAGCCACTGCACTCCAGCTTGGGTGATAGAGTGAGACTGTCTCAAACAAACAAACAAAAAGTAATACCTGAAACTGAGTAATTTATAAAGAAAAGAGGTGTATTTTGCCTCACGGTTCTGCAGGCTGTACAGGAGTGCTGCCAGCATCTGCTTCTGGTGAGGGCCTCAGCAAGTTTATAATCATAGCAGAAGGTGAAGGAGGAGCAGGCATCACCTGGCGGTAGAGGAAGCAAGAGAGAGAGGTGGGGGAGGGGCCACGGGGCCAAACTCTTTATTTATTTATTTTTTTTTTCCTGTCACCCAGGCTGAAGTACCATGGTGTGATCTCAGTCTCACTGCAACCTCCGTCTCCCAGACTCAAGCGATCATCCCACCTCAGCCTCCCAAGTAGCTGGGACCTCAGGTGCACACCACCACGCCTGGTTAATTTTTGGCTTTTTTTTTTTTTAATAGGGATGGGGGTCTCATCATGTTGCCCAGGCTGGTCTCGAACTGTGGCGCTCAAGCGATCTGCCCGCCTCGGCCTTCCAGGCGTGAGCCACTGCGCCTGGCCTGAACTCTTTTAAACAACCTGCTCTTGAGTGAACTCTGAGTGAAAACCATAAAGTGAACTCATTACCGTGAGAAGGGCACCAAGCCATTTATGATGGATCCTCCCCCATGACCCAAACACCTCCCACCAGACCCCACCTCCAACACCGGGGATTACATTTCAACAAGAGATTTGGAGGCGACAAAACATCCAAACCACGTCAAGTAGTTGCCCAGAGCTGGGGGAATTTGGGGAAAAATGGGAGTGACTGCTAGTGGGTATAGAGTTTCCTTCTGGGGTTATGACCTGTTCAAAAATCGATTATGGTGATGGTTACACAACTCTGTGAATTCATTAAAAATGACTGAATTGTACACTTTATTTGGGTGAATTCTGTGGTATGCAAATTTGGTAAGAAATAAACTCAGAGACAAAATGCTCTTTGATTAAATGCAATGGAAAGTGAAACATTTGTTTCTTCTCTGAACTTGAAACGTTAGAAGTCCACGAAAACCAAGATTTCAAAGGAATGGGAAAATGTATATTTGGAGCCACCAACAACTGGGGACAATACTCACTCTAGAACTTGGATCAGAAATGCAATACATTCAGACTAATTTTTTTACTTATTTATTTTTTGTTTGAGACAGAGTCTTGCACTGTCACCTGGACTGGAGTGCAATGGCATGATCCTGGGTCACTGCAACCTCCACCTCCCACATTCAAGTGATTCTCCTTGCCTCAGCCTCCCAAGTAGCTGAGATTACAGGTGCACGCCACCATGTCTGGCTAATTTTTTTGTATTTTTAGTACAGACGGGATTTCACTATGTTGGCCAAGCTGGTCTCCAACTCCTGACCTTGTGATCCACCTGCCTCGGCCTCCCAAAGTGCTGGGATTACAGGCATAAGCCACTGTGCCCGGCCATTCAGACTAATTTTTAAGGCACCATCCACAAAGCTGATGCAATTAAACATACTAAATATAAACCAAAACTGAAGTTTTAGACCTCTCCAATAAAAATAATTTAAACTATCACCCAACTCAATGGAAAATCATAATTTGCATGGTATTTAGAAATGCCAGCTCTGCCTATCAAGGGAGCCTAATCTGCCTATCAGAAGTGGATGCAATTTTGATATATCTTTGGCTTTAGCCAGGGGGAGGAAGACATTCCCACATAATAATCACATCCTTATAGAAATTGAAAACGTATGTTCAAGCCATGGTGGTCCTGCAGAAATATAAACTCATAAAGGGTCTCTTGATTCATTATCACCATTCATTTTGTTCACTGAAATAACCAGAGTTTTACCAGCCTTGTACCATGACTGATAGCTCTTTCATAAAAGGATATTTTACAAAATATTGAAATGTAGCCTATTTCTACCTGATAAATCCCTGGACCTGTAAACTTTGAACCCTCGTTGGCCTTTGTTGCTTGTGACCTTGTTTAAATGATTAATGTTCTTTTAACGACTGCAGGCTTTAGAAGGCAGCATGCATTCACCATGCGCAGATCCTTTATTCGAGGCAAAATGAAGTTGTTCAAACACAAAACCGCTGATAATATGCACTCTAGTACATAGTTGCATCATTTTTAAATTTCAGATACCCTACTAAAGAGGAAGGTTTTGTAGGTTATGTATTCTTCAGATACATACTTTTTATTTTAAAAAGTTGTAAAGCGTCCCTCAGCTTTTTAATTTCTGAAAAAAATTATGAACACTATGTTGACACAACTTATTCATTATCTCTAAACTCAAAATGAATGGATAATTAGGATTACTTTATCATACTTTTTTTTTTAAGACAGGGTCTCACTCTGTTGCCTAGGCTGGAGTTCAGTGACACGATCATGGCTCGCTGCAGCCTTGACCTCCCAGGCTCAAGTGATCCTCCCACCTCCATCTCCCAAGTAGCTGGGACTACAGGCTGTGCCACCATACTGGCTGATTTTTGTATTTTTTGTAGAGATGGGGTTTTGCCATGTTGCCCAGGCTAGTCTTGAACTCTTGGGCTCAAGGTATTCTCCCATCTCCACCTCCCAAAGTGTGGGATTACAGTCATGAGCCACTGAGCCCGGCCTCATCAGACATTTTAAATTTTTATTGTTTGATCAAGGTTTTACAGCATTTTGTACCACTTTGGTATTATCATCAAAGTTGGTGAGTTATGTGATTATTGAACTATGTAAAGTCTCAATCCCCCGCCCAACTCCATCTCCTGTTAAAATTCAAAACTTAAATATCAAAGGTCTGCATTTATCAGAAGTCAATAGAATTACTTTCAGGGACGGGACAAAAAAATGGACTGGATCTTTCTTAACTAACATCACTCTGGAAATGGTGAAGACATAACAAATTTTTGTCATTGGCTTTATACCAGCCTTGAAAACAAAAGCCAAAAAAAAAAAGGAAAAGTAAAGAAAGAAAAAAGAAAAAGAAGTTCTATCAGCCTACTAAATGTTTTATGAGTCCTGTGTCCCCTGAAAAGGTTCACAGGAAATTTTTTTCAAATAAAATAAGTCTTTAGCAACATGCTTGGTATATGTCATTATTCTCAGTGGGTAAAAGGAAATTTGCAGCTCTGAAAATGAATGTATTTCATAAAATACATTTTCTTATGACTATGGTAAGAAAAGCCCTTTTGTTTATGGATGGGGAGTTGGGTGGAGAGAAGCAAGGGGGTTACCCTATCACAATTAGGGAGAATGGCTTTGTTTTGAAGAGCCCATTTCCCCTGAAATCAATAGATTATTACCTCAGCACTACAAACAAGGTATTTCTTACCTCACCCAGGATCCACACCACTATTTGTAGGGTTTTTTTTTTTTTTTTTAGCAGTTTACATAAAATATTACTGGAGGTAAGTTTTTTTTTCCCTAATGGCTCCAAGGTTAAAGTTGAAAATACCAGCTTGATGTTGTGCAGAGATGTGGCTATATTGAATGTCATTTCCACAGTTTCCAGTAAATCATTTCATTATCCATAATAATAATCTTCATTGGCTTTACAAATAATTGCTTTGCTAAACTTAAAGGAAGTCTGATTTTAATTTGCTATCTACATCTACATTCTTATATTCTTTTTATAGATTTTTAACAAGTTATCAGTAGAATCTTCCTTCACTCAAACATAAGTGAAAGTTTTATCTATCTTGAGATATCACTGAAATAATTTATTGCTGGGGAAACAAAACCTTTTGTCTCAAAATATATTTCTTCCCGACAGCTGTGGTATTTCAGGGAAAGCACCAAAGCTATGATGGTCTGGACTGCAATCAACTGTTCTTAATAGGAAATTTTACAGACTTTTAATAAGATATCCTCAAATAATTTATGGAGAGAGGTTTTGAAGTGAAGAAGCATTGTTTGGCAATATGTTCTTCCTCTAATCTCAGGAAATTTAAATAAAAGAGTACTCATTTCCTCTGAACTCAGCAGTTCTCCTTTTATGAAAATTTAAAAAAAACACCTGCTGCAACAGTCCAAAACATAGTTTACTTGCTTCAAACAAAATTGTACTGAAACAAACAAATAAACAAACAAATACATCAGCACTGGAATTCTTTTGTAGACTTCCTGATCTGTGACTGGTTAGGAATTTTCACTAAGGAATCCAAAAGGACAGGGCTGTTTGAAAATCAGGAGAGAAACATCCTCTGTTTACAAACTGTAGGTAATCATCCCCAAGTATCCTGTTCCCTTGGACCAGTGGTTCTCAATCTGTCCCATATGGCAGGGGTCCCCACCCCCCCCGATCTGTGGCCTGTTAGGAACCAGGCACCACAGCACGAGGTGAGCAGCAGGCAAGCAAAGCTTCATCCATATTTACAGCCACTCCCCATTGCTTGCATTACCTCCTGAGCTCTGCCTCCTGTCAGATCAGTGGTAGCACTAGATTCTCATAGAAGCATGAACCCTACTGTGAACTGTGCATGAGAGGGATCTAGGTGGCGCAGTCCTTATGAGAATCTAATGCCTAATGATCTGTCACTGTCTCCCATCACCCCCAGATGAGATCGTCTAGTTGCAGGAAAATAAGCTCAGGGGTCCCGCTGATTCTACATTATGGTGAGTTGTATAATTATTTCATTATATATTACAATGTAATAATAATAGAAATAAAGTACACAATAAAAGTAATGTGTTTGAATCATCCCAAAACTATCCCAGCACCCTCCACACTCCAAGCCATTGGTGGAAAAATTGTCTTCCACGAAACTGGTCCCTGGTACCAAAAAGGTTGGAGACTGCTGCTATATGGGGATCCCTATCCGCCACCAAGCTGTTTTCTTGATGTTATCTTGAGACTATTGCTAATTCTTCCCATTAAAGCTTCTACACTCATCTTATTTGATTTATCATCATTTCATTGTGGGTTTTGTTTGTTTGGTTTGGTTTGATTTTTGGCTTATAAAGTTGTTGTTTTCCTACTTAAAAATTGAACTTTAAACTCTTTTTACCTGTATTTATAATGATAATTTCATTATCAGGTTAAGCCAACATTCATTCCATTTGGTTCCTGAATGGTGCAGCCAGCAGATGGACTAGATCTGTGCCTGTCATGCTTTAACATAGCATGTGCGCACAAATCACTTAGGCCTTGTGTTTAAAAAGGTGATTCTGTCTTAGCAGGTCTGATTTGAGGCCAGAAATTTCCCATTTCTAACAAGCTCTTGAGTGATGCCAATGGTGCTGGCCCTTGGACTGCACTTGGAGAAGCAGAGAAAGGTCCTTTCTAACTTTAGATGTCATATCCTAGAGTTCCAGTGGGGTTCATGTAGGCTCACTGGAGAGTTTATGAAATGGTCCAAAATCCTGATGAGAAAAGTTAAAGTTTTGGCAGCTACATATATTCCCCTTCGTTAGGAAATGCAATCAGGAGAGGAAAAAGAAGCCCAGCATTCACTGATGAGCAGCAAGTGTGATGTCTTGGGTTAAGAGAAAATGGCCTTGTTCATTTTCACGTTACCGCCTTCTCTCCCTCTCTCCCTTTTCTTCCAATAACCTTGACCTCTCTCCCCCACACACATTCAGTTGGGTAGCTCCTATACCTACATAAATTTGGCTTTTATTCACCAACCATCATTCAGAAACTCAAAACTGTACTGTTAAAAGAAAAGAAAAAAGATACTGAGCTGTGCCTCTGACAAGATATATACAAAGTTACTCAAAGCATCACTGTGTTCTCAAAGAAGGATGGGAGGCAATGTGGATTCACCATATATGTTCCCATATCCTGAGGCTTTAGCCACTAATCCAGGAGGCTTCTTTCTCCAATGTAACTCATTCCTACCTCATTCATGGTATACCTGTAGCTAGGGATGAATGATTCTTAAACCTGCAGCCAAGATATGAATGAAAAAGTTTCCCCAAATTTAAAAAATAATTGGCTAGCCTAGAAGCTATTGTTGTGGGCCAGATTTCATGGATTATTCTTTTTTTCCCTTTAGGGCAAGAGGTATACTAATTTAGAAAGGTAGAAAACTGGTATCTTAGTTTTCTGATATCTTGTTTCCGTTTTTCAAAGGTACAGGTCAAGTGGCCAGGTGCAGTGGCTCACGCCTATAATCCCAGCACTTTGGGAGGCCGACACGGGTGGATCACCTAAGGTCAGGAGTTCGAGACCAGCCTGCCCAACATGGTGAAACCCCAACTCTACTAAAAATACAAACATTAATTGGGCATGGTGGCGGGCGCCTGTAATCCCAGCTCCTCAGGAGGCTGAGATGGGATAATTGCTGCAACCCGGGAGGCGGAGGTTGCAATGAGCTGAGATCGCACCACTGCACTCCAGTCTGGGCACAAGACTCCATCTAAAAAAAAAAAAGCCTGGGCGGAGGCCGAGGCAAGAGGATCACAAGGTCAAGAGGTCGAAACCATCCTGGTCAACATGGTGAAACTCCGTCTCTACTAAAAATACAAAAATTAGCTAGGAATGGTGGTGCATGCCTGTAGTACCAGCTACTTGGGAGGCTGAGGCAGGAGAATCGCTTGAACCCAGGAGGCAAAGGTTGTAGTGAGCCGAGATCATGCCACTGCACTCCAGCCTGGCGACAGAGTGAGACTCCGTCTCAAGAAAAAAAAAAAAAAAAAAAGAGTACAGGTCAAGGATAACGACCTGAATTTCCCACTCCACTTTGTAGTTGAATACCCAGTTTAATGAAATAAGAGACTTCAAGAACATTCATGTTACATTGGGTGAATGTAAGTGGAAATAATTTTTAAATCTTTCAAGTTACTATTTTTTCTAAAATTCCAAATCCATTCATGTAAGCCTTAGACCAGATCATTTGAATCATTGAGAAACTAAAACAACTAATGTCTGGCATAAATTTGAAAGCCCTTCAGCAACTGCAACAAAGCAAACAAAATGATGGAGAATGCAGCAGGGAACGAGGGAGGGGAGAGCAGGCTAGAGCTAAATAGTTGTCTCTTTCTGGGAAGGTTTCCTGTTGGAGGAACATTTAGAGCTATGAGGGAGAGAGGGAATGCCCACTCAGCTGGTATAATCAATTCAAAGGGTCAGTAGTGTGGCAAAGGATACCAACAGATGACCCTCAGTTCCAGTTATTTATTGCTGCATAACAAGCGATCACAAGACTCAGTGGCTTAAAACAATAGCTCTTTTTCTTACATCTCACAATTTTGTGGGTCAGGATTTTGACCAGGGTATAGCTGTTCCATGTGGTGTCAACAGAGGTCACTTGGAAGTATTCAGCTGGTGGGTGAGCTTATCTGCAGGATCCAAGATGGCGTCACTCAAATGTCAGGAGACTTGACATGAGGACATGAGGGATGGCTGTAAGGCAAGGCTCAGCTACATTTGTCGACGAAAATGCCTTCATGGGGCTTCTTCAGCATGGAAGCTTGAGGGGTGTGACTTCTTACAAGAGCCACGGCATCAGTGATCAAGGGGGAATCTGTATGACCTTTTATGATGTAGATTTGGAGGTCACATACCATCACTTTCCTGTACTTTTTGTCAAAGCAGTGATAAGCCTGCCCATTTTCAAACAGAAGTGATACAGACCCCATCTCTTGAAGGGATAAGTGTCAAAGAATTTGTGGCCATCTTTAAAAACTGCCACACCATAAAACTCATGAAATACTTCTAGAAATGGTGGAGCTCAGTAATTAACTACTGGTTACCAAGTGAATGTAAACTCAAACAAATGTACCTTATTTCTCAGTGTATATATATAAATACATATTTGAAATAAAAACTTCTTCTTCCTCTTCTTCCTCTTCCTCTTCCTCTTCTTCTTCCTCTTCTTCTTCCTCTTCTTCTTCTTCTTCCTCTTCTCATTCTGTCACCCAAGCTGGAGTACAGTGGAATAATCATAGCTCACTGCAGCCTCCTACTCCTAGGCTCAAGCAATCTTCCCACCTTAGCCTCCTATAGAACTAAATAAGAATGTGCCACCACACCTGGCTAATTTAAAATTGTTTTTTCTAGAGATGGGGCTCCCTATGTTTGCCCAGGCTGGCCTCAAACTCCTGGCCTCAGGCAGTCCTCTGGCCCTGGCCTCCAAAAATGATGGGATTACAGGCATGAGCCACCATGCCCAGGCAAAAGTTGGATATTCTTATTCACATTATATTCAGATGTACAAAATAAGTCCTTTAAAATTTTGTTACTCAACTTGGCAAAAATTCAGTTACTTTTTTTAATATTACATCACAGCCATGTCTTATTTTATTGCCATCTACTTTGTAAAATAAGCAAACAATGGTATCTACTGTCAACTACATGACAATAAATTGTAGCTTTTGCTAAGAGCAATATACTATCTCTTATTGTAAAGTATTTTTCATGTTAGGATTTTATGCACTTCCTCTGAAAAATAGATAATGAGTGAAGTACAAAATGTTTCCGTATCTATGAATTTCATTACATGGGGGAACAAATTAGTGCTGTTAGAAGCAGCAGTCATAGTTCGTTTAATGGCTTTGTACCATATCACCTTCATTTCTTTACTTACCACTTCCCAAATCCTGCCCACAACTTTGCAAGGAGGTTATTAAATTTTTATTAACTAATAAAATAAATTAAAATTTGGAAAAGATTTTTTTGAAAAAGAATGATATAAAATGAGGTTCTTACACATAAAGTTATTCACTGTCCATATTGATCTCTCTGCTCTGGCAGCAGCTGAGATTTGCATACAGTTAATAAAAATAAAATTGGCAAGAATTTGAAAAGTGGAGACCCTGGAATAGTCTGGCTCATCAGAGAAAATGGCAGCCTCACACCATCTTAAGGGGACTTCTTAAGCACTTGATTCTCTTAGATGATGTGTTCCTGGATAACCTCTCTCTAGCCTTTTATATGTAGGTCAATTAAATATAAATATTCTTGTGGAATGACTGCTAATGGGTACAGGGTTTCTTTTGGGGGTGATGAAAATGAAATTAGATAGTGGTGATAACTGCACAACCTTCTGAAAAAAACACTGAACTATACATTTTTAAAAAGTTAATTTTATAGTATGTGGATTATATTTTAATAAAAATATAAACATGCTATTAATAATATATGATCCTTATAGAAGAATGTGGAAAAGAAATGTTAACAACTAAAAACCTTTAAAAATACGTTAACAAGTGAAATTATTATATACAGTCTGTGTAGAGCACAATCTAATTTATATTTTCTACCACGTGTTGACAGTACCAGCAACAGTGAGGTATTAAATTCTGCAGTCAGGCAAAATGAATACTGAGTTAATCTTTGCCACTTGTCCCCACTTACAATCACCACGCCAACCACCCTCCCTAAACTGCTCATTAAAATGTCATGGAAAGAATGTGACCTGGCCTCTACAGCCTTGCTTTAATAAGACTATCAGCACGACCAAATCAATATGTAAACCCACATACTCCATTTTTATCAACTATTCAAAGTAGTGTTTATGTTGAAACTCATTTGAAGCCACAGCTCCAAAAAAAATGCCCACTAACCTGAGAATTGCTGCTCATAGCTGTTAGCATTTGCTTATTTAACATGGATAGCTTCCTTTTTTGCCTTTTCTTCACTTCAATGGTTTTATCCATTATTAAGGCTCACCTTGTGTTAAAAAATACATTTTTATTGGTCTCTTCACTCCCAAAAGGCCACAAGAATGCCTGCCAATAACTAGTACTTAGAGAATATGATTTGCTACTAAAATACTGAGATGATCACAAAAAAGTCTTTCGAACTCCAAGCATAAATTGTCAAAGAAAAGTTCATGAATTAAGTCATCAAATACTAGCGTTGTAGCCATAATATAATAGCCTCCACTACACTCTTCCATCACAAAAACATTGTCCCATTTTCACCACTGGAAATCAATCTATGCTGGATTTGCCTCTGAAAATAGAAGGGACCATGGTGCTGCTAAGGGCACTGAGAGAGCAGATCAAAGTCATATACAGCAGCGCAGCAAATAGGGCAGCAGCTCACTGTGAGTCGAGGGCACAGACACTGAAGTAGTGAAGTAGTGAAGTCATCGGGGGTGTGCTCTTGTCTGCAGCGCTCCCTCTCTGGTGTTCTCAGACCCCTGGTGGCTCTGACCACCCTTGCGATGCCTGGAGCCCTTTGATGTGTCTCCCCAGCCAAGCTGTCACCTCTGACCATGCCCCAAGCTTCCAAATTAGTCCTCCCATATCCCTATCAAAGCTCCAATTTCCTCATTGACCCCTCCCCATAGATGTTAGAAAAGTGATATAGAACGCGTACATGATGATGCTTTGAAAACTGCACAGCTCTATATAAATGGCCTTTGTTATCGTAACCAACATGTTAATCCTCAGTGTGGTTTATATGCATATTAAAAGAGGCTGCTTGCGGTGATACCTTGACCTGAGGAATAAATCTCTAGTGGTAGAATGGTAAATGGGAGGAACGTTTTGGGAAACGGAGGTTTCCCAGCCAGCCAGCCAGCCAATTAGCTATAAATCACAAGGTATAGGTGTCATCTATTCTGCAACTTTGTTAAACATACAAGGCTTCTGAATTTCATTGGTTTGTAGTTAGACGTTGAACTTAGCATCTTGAGTGTTAAATTGCTTATTATTGGGTGGATACTATCCACATGGCTTAAAAAATGTCTATCACCTCAGTAAGTTTTCCACTATATTTATCAAAAATGTATTATTTTATTGGAGCATTGGTTGTCCAAGGGTGTCCCTTCTACCTTGGCCCTTTGTTTAACTCACCAGGCACCATGACCTAACTCTTCATGAAAAGAAGGCACAAACAGCAGTAGCCTCCTGGGTCCCAGATTGTCTCATCACTTGTGTCATCTTTCGCTCTGTGGTCTCAGATTCTCGGCTCCACATCCTGACTTCAGTTATGTTAGTTATGCTACTGTCTCTTCTGTTTGAAGATCCACCCACACGTATCTCCTGGCTTTTTGAGCTTTGGAATTTCACAAGATTCTAAACTCCATTCCTTCTCTCAGTTTTGGTACCCCATTTAGTTTCTGATGAGAAGCTCCTTTAAATCCACTCCTTTAAATTCAGTCTTACCTTGGCCTGCCACAGTGGCTCACACCTGTAATCCCAGCACTTTGGCAGGCCAAGGCGGATGGATCACTTGAGGTCAGGAGTCTGAGACCAGCCTGGCCAATGTGGTGAAACCCTGTCTCTATTAAAAACACACAAAAGGCCAGGAGAGGTGGCTCATGCCTGTAATCCCAGCACTTTGGGAGGCTGAGGCAGGTGGATCACCTGAGGTCAGGAGTTCAAGACCAGCCTGGCCAACATGGCGAAACCCTGTCTCTACTAAAAATACAAAAATTAGCCAAGCATGATGGCACGTGCTTGTAATCCCAGGTACCAAGGGGCTGAGGCAGGAGGATCACTTGAACCTGGGAGGTGGAGGTTGCAGTGAGCCAAGATTGTGCCACTGCACTCCAGCCTAGGCAACAGAGCGAGACTCTGTCTCAAACACACACACACACACACACACACACAACTAGATGGGTGTGGTGGCGCATGCCTGTAATCCCAGCTACTTGGGAGGCTGAGGCAGGAGAATCACTTGATCCTGGGAGGCAGAGGTTGCAGTGAGCCGATATCGTGCTGCTGCATTCCAGTCTGGGTGACAGAGCAATGCTTTGTCTCAAAAAAAAAAAAAAAAAAAAAAAGGAAAAAAAGAAACAAAATCCTACCTTTAACACTATCGATGGTTACATGAGATAATAATTTGTTATGTAATGGCCTACTTAACCGCATTTTACTGGGACAACCTGAGAAAATGATTCTTTTATTTTGTAACATTATAAACACTATTTAACCAAACTTATATGGTGCCAAAAGCATGACATATGATTGCATGTGTTAAACAGAAGGTATTTTCATCAGCTGTTATTTAAGGCCTCACATTTAACTTCGGGAGACACTCTGTCATTACCGTTGAAGCTTGCTGTGCAAGTAGCAGTGGAAATAATGCCCCTTTTTTTTTTTGGAAAAAATAAGATGCTTTTTGACACTTCAAATATCAAGATAAATTCAGCCAATTTAGACTTGGCCCATCTTTATACAACATTTTTAAAAGAGGAGGGCACTGTTATTGGTATTGTACTTTATGTGTGCGTGGTTGGAGGCAGTTCATTTAAGGGATAAACATCAAGGCTAAATCTGTGGTTTTATAAATGTAAACAAACTGGTTTGATTTTAGCTATGACCAAACAGATATGCTCGGAAGAAATCTTTGTTCCATCCCGATCCATGTAACTTCCAATTTCCAAGTGGTAGACACGATAGATTAGCACTCAGCACTCAGCATCAGTCCAAGTTCTTTCTAAATAGTAGCGTTCTTATACAGCAGAGGCCAGGAAGCAGAAATGACAGCTCCTAGAGTCACTTGAAGCTAAGTTTGTGATTTCCTAGCATTGCTGTAACAAATTACCACAAATTAGGTGGCTTAAAACAATAGAAATGGCCCAGCACAGTGGCTCACGCCTGTAATCCCAGCACTTTAGGAGGCTGAGGTGGGTGGATCACGAGGTCAGGAGTTCAAGACCAGCCTGGCCAAGATGGTGAAATCCCATCTCTACTAAAAATACAAAAATTAGCTGGGTGTGGTGGCGCACATCTGTAATCTCAGCTACTCGGGAGGCTGAGGCAGGCGAATCACTTAAACCCGGGAGGCAGAGGTTGCAGTGAGCAGAGATTGCCATTGCACTCCAGCCTGGGCAACAGAGCAAGACTCCATCTCAAAAAAAAAAAAAAAAAAAAAAAGAAAAGAAAAGAAAACAAAAGAATAGAAGAGAAAAGAAAAGAAAAGAAAACAATAGAAATGTATTATCTCACAGCTCTGGAGGCCAGAGGTCCAAAATCAATGTGTTGGCCGGGCTGTGCTCTCTCTGGGGGCTCTAAGGGAGATTCCTTCCTTGCCTCTCCTAGTTCCCCATGCTGCTAGGCATTCTTTGGTTTGCGGCTGCATCACTCCAATTTCCACCTCTGTCTTCACATGACCTTCCCTTCTCTCTGTGTCTTCTCCTCTTCTGTCTCCTGTAAGGACACTTATCATTGGATTTAGGGCCCACTCAGGTAATCAGGATGATCTCACTTGAAATTCTTAACATAAATGCATTTGCAAAGGCCTTTTTCTCCCCAAATAATGTCACATTCTTGGGTTCCCGGTGGACCAGTCTTCTGGGGAGCCAGCCTTCAACCCACTGCGCCAGGGCTTCTGGATGTGAACTAGGCTCTGTCCATGAGATGCACTGTGTGGAGTTGCAAGGCAGAAGTGAGGAGGGAGCCATCTTTCTACTGCTCTGGCTGAAGCTGTTGGCCATCACAGGTATGGAGACCTTGGGATTTACTGAAGCAAATTAACGGGGGACAGCCTTTAAATTAGTGAAGGTCAAAGGCAATTGCAGGGCTGTGCAGTGGCTTCTTGATTTCAAGAGTGCAGCTCCAGCTCTGTGTTCTTCAAATCAACAGGGGCCTGATGATCCCCACCTTCCCGAGTGGAGCAGATGCAGCTCCCTTTTGAGTCAGTTCTTCGGTGTTGTGCTGGGAGCTTCTAGGGTCCAACCTAGAACCTACAACTTTAGTATATAATTCCCTGTATTAAATCCCTTTCTGCTTAAAATAATAAGTTAGTCCTGTTTCCTGCAACTGAACTCTGCCAATACATTTTTTGTTGTTGTTGTTGCAGCTGAAAGTAAATTTTTAATATTTAAAATAGTATAATTTTACCCAGCACTTTGGGAGGCCGAGGCGGGTGTAACACTTGAGGTCAGGAGTTCGAGCCAAACCTGGCCAATGTGGTGAAACCCTGTCTCCACTAAAAATACAAAAATTAGCCAGGCGTGGTCGTTTGCACCTGTAATCACAGCCACTCAGGAGGCTGAAGCAGGAGAATTGCTTGAACCGGGGACGTAGAGGTTGCAGTGAGCCGAGATAGTGCCACTGCACTCCAGCCCAGGCAACAGAGCAAGACTCTGCCTCAAAAATAAATAAAATAAAATAAAATAACATAAAATAAAATAGCATCACTTTAGATTCAGCTCTGTATACTGTTTTAGGTTTGGCTCATGGTAAGTAGGCCAAAAAATGATTTGAATAATGAAACACAAGAGTTTTTTTTTTTTTTTAGACGGAGTCTCGCTGTTTCGCCAGGCTGGAGTGCAATGGCGCGATCTCAGCTCACTGCAACTTCCACCTCCCTGGTTCAAGCAATTCTCCTGCCTCAACCTCCCAAGTAGCTGGGACTACAGGAGTGTGCCACCACACCCAGCTAATTTTTGTATTTTTAGTAGAGACAGGGTTTCACCATGTTGGCCAGGTGGGTCTTGAACTCCTGACCTCATGTGATCTGCCCACCTCGGCCTTCCAAAGTGCTGGGATTACAGCGTGAGCCACCGTGCCCAGCCTAGGAGATTTTTTTAGGGTGATAAAACTATTCTGTATGATAGAGTAATGGTGGATACATGATGCTATACATTTGTTAAAACTCACAGAATTTCACAGCACCAAGGGTGAACCTTAATGTATGCAAATCTTTAAAAACTCACTTAGGAAGCTGGGGATCTTCTGAAGAATATGACCAAAGAATCTAATCTATTGCAATTATATAAAACAAGCCCAGGCACGGTGGCTCACGCCTGTAATCCTAGCACTTTGGGAGGCCGAGGCTGGCGGATCACCTGAGGTCAGGAGTTCAAGACCAGTCTGGCCAACACGGTGAAACCCTGTCTCTACAAAAATACAAAAATTAACGGCGTGGTGGCCTGCATCTGTAGTCCCAGCTACTTGGGAGGCTAAGGAAGAAGAATTGCTTGAACCCAGGAGGTGGAGGTTGCAGTGAGTCAAGATCATGCCATTGCACTCCAGCCTGGGCAACAGTGTGAGACTCTGTCTCAAAAAAAAAAAAAAATTAGCAGGGCGTGGTGGTGGGCACCTGTAATCCCAGGTACTTGGGAGGTTGAGACAGGAGAATCCCTTGAACCTGGGAGGCAGAGGTTGCAATCAGCTGGGATCGTACCACTGCACTCCAGCCTGGGCAATAGAGCAAGACTCCATCTCAAAACAAAACAAAATAACTATATGAAACAACCTCACTGAAGGATTGGGAAGGAAACATGCCAACCTAAGTAAATTTGAACATGAGCAGAATCTCTAAAATTAAAGGCAAAAGGAACTTTTTTTAAAAAGTATTTTTAAAAATTCCCTTTTAAGTAATTATTTCTTTTCTTCATTCTTACCTGGGGCATTCTGTGTAGAAGATATGAGTCCTGTCTTTTTCTCATAAATAAACTGCATATTCTCAAAAATGTAAAAGGTTTTCCTAAGCTAATGCAAGGGTTGTAAAATGGTGGTTCAAGGGCCTGATTCAGCCTACAGATATATTTTATTTAGTCTTCACAATGTTTTAAGAATACTGGAGTTAGTTGTTTATGTTTCAAAAATCTGAGGATTATGTACAGAGATATGGATTCCCAGCTTTTCTGAAGAAAATCAGAAGCTCTAACAGGACTAAGCCCATATTCACATCTGATAGTGTGCACGGCAACGGTGGTTATAGCTAAGAAGATGCTGGACTCTTTTTTTTTTTTTTTTTTTTAAGAGATGGAGTCTCGCTCTGTCACCCAGGCGAGAGTGCAGTGGTGCGATCTCGGCTCACTGTAACCTCCGCCTCCCGGGTTCCAGCAATTTTCCTGCCTCAGCTTCTTGAGCAGCTGGGACCACAGGCGCACGCCACCACACCCGGCTAATTTTTTGTATTTTAGTAGAGACGCGGTTTCACCGTTTTACCCAGGCTGGTCTCGAACTCCTGAACTAAGGCAATCTACCCACCTCGGCCTCCCAAAGTGCTAGGATTACAGGCGTGAGCCACCGCGCCCGGCCGATGCTGGACTCTTTAGAGAAGGTTTGTTACTCAGTTTGTCACAATTTCCACTGATTAGGCCCACATCACTCACGTAAGTTACCTGCATGCCCCACACGCATCTGACTTTGCAATCACCACGATATTGGGAAGATTCAGGACAATCCAGCACTGCCCCCATCTGACAGCTTCCTCTTACCCGTGTTTCCCAACGCTTCCTAACTTGCTTACTGTTTTCCCAGAGGAAAAAAACCTGACAATGTGTGACTTCAAATAGCATCCTTTGCATTTCAGAGAACATCTAAAAAAGACTATCTAACTGAAAGCAGTGACTTTTTTTTTTTTTTTTTTTTTTTTTTTTTTTTTTTTGAGATGGAGTCTCGCTCTGTCTCCCAGGCTGAAGTACAGTGGAAAGATCTCGGCTCACTGCAAGCTCCGCCTCCTGGGTTTTACGCCATTCTCCTGCCTCAGCCTCCCGAGTAGCTGGGACTACAGGAGTGCACCACCTACGCCCGGCTAATTTTTTGTATTTTTAGTAGAGACAGGGTTTGACTGCGTTAGCCAGGATGGTCTCGATCTCCTGACCTTGTGATCTGCCCGCCTTGGCCTCCCAAAGTGCTGGGATTACAGGCGTGAGCCACCGCGCCCAGCCAAAAGCAGTGACTTTTTAATGACAACCATCTAAGCACCATAGGCCTATCCTTGCCCACAAGAGTTTACCTCACTATTCTACCTATTTATGAGCTAGGTGTTAGGCATATTCTCTGTATTGAAGCTTGAGAGGTAGTATGTTCTTAATCAGAATCAAGATTCTTTTTTTCCCCTTAACATAGGCGTAATAATAGCGAAACAGACCAACTAGTGAGTCTTTAGTGCTGAAAACTACTCGTTAAATTTATTGGTTCTTTGATGTCCGATTCATGGCAAACTCTCATGGTTATTTTGCCAAAGGAAGTCAAAGTCATCATGTTGCATTTTTTAATGGGGATTGATACACTTTTATGAAAGGAACTTAGTGGGATTTTTAAAGAACATCCATTTCTCTTCTTCCTAAGTACAGTAACCTTGCCGTGGCCCCTCCAGGCCACTCAACACCAGTGTGAATTTGTTGTTCTCTCATAAATTGCACAACCCATCTGACAAAGTATTCTGACTTTTTCACCTAAATATCAACAACTTTCAATTATCCAGGAGAAAAAAAACATCATTATCAAAAGTGTTTCTCATACTGATTCGACGGAAACCACTGGCCATACATAGCAAAAATAACAAGCAGCCAAAGTTTAGATTGGGACATTCATCTTTCCTTTGTGATAAAAAGTTAGGCTGTGACTTGGGAACGCACGACACGCTTCATTGGCAGAAATGCTCTCGTTCTGCTTGAAAGCGTGGGTACTTCAGAAGTGCCTCCCCTTGCTAGGATGAGTAAAAACAATATCATTTTCCCTGATAGCTGCTGAATTGAAGTGAAGGCTTATTTATTTAAACTTTTGAAGCATGAAGCAAAATGCAGCCAGTGTGTACAATGTCTGTCTTAGAGACCATAAGTCAGAGATAAGAGTTTATGAAGCGTTAGATCAGCAGGATGAGTCCTGCTTTCTCATGTAAACCACACAGAGCAGAAGGTTGCAGCATCAGCCTCTGAATCCCCCTTAAAAAGCAATGGTTTGAGCTCCTTCATTCCCACTATTACACAATTCCATTACCGCTCCTTTCTTTACAAAAATATGTTTTGAATTATTCCACTACTGATTGTTGGTGAAATGCTCTTTTATTACTTGCTAACAGCATTTGTTATTACCAAGAGTAGTGAGTCTGAAAGCCTTTGCTCTTCACCCATCCCAAGGTCAACCCCACACAACACCGTGGGGTTGCCAAATCCCATCATATCAGCAGCTGACTGCTCCTGTGAGCTTCACATATTTCTTAAAACCTGGCTTGGAGGCCTGCTACCTGACCTCCTGCAGCGGAACCTCCTAGCAAGTTATCTCCAGAGCTGCTTGAGCAAAAGTTCAAGTTGCTAAAACAGGTGTAAAAGGTGAAGTTTAACAACCGCCTTGTTAATTAGTCCTTTTACTTTCACCTAAACACAAGCCCTGCGCTAGATCCCAGGAACCTTCTAAGGTGCACAATTTTTCTTAATTTTTTTGTTATGCTCCAAAATACACTGCCCTACCTCCCATCTCTCATTTTAGGATGAGGCTCTGCATTTCTTTCCTATTGTGGCTGTAACAAATGGCTACAAATATAATGGCTTTAAATAACAGAAAATTATTCTCTCCTAGTTCTATGTTTTTATTTGTTTTTTTGTTTTGAGACAGAGTCTCACTCTGTCACCCAGACTGGAGTACAATGGTATGATCTTGGCTCACTGCAATCTCCACCTCCTGGGTTCAAATGATTCTCCTGCCTCAGCCTCCCGAGTAGCTGGGATTACAGGTGCCCGCCACCATGCCCGGCTAATTTTTGTATTTTTAGTAGAGACGGGGTTTCACCATGTTGGCCAGGCTGGTCTCGAACTCCTGACCTCGTGATCTGCCCGCCTCGGCCTCCCAAAGTTCTGGGATTACAGGCGTGAACCACCAAGCCCGGCCTAGTCTCTCCTAGTTCTGAAAGACAGAAGTCTAAATTGAGTTTTAGGAGGCTAAAATCAAAATGTCCACAAGGCTGTTTCTTTCTGGAGGTTCTAGGGGAGAGTTTGTTTTGTGTCTCTCCGGCTTCTGGAGGCTCAGGCGTCCTTTGGTTTGTGGCCACATCACTTCAATCCCTGCTTCCGTTGTCACATTGCCTTCCCTTTCTGTTGTCAAATCTCCATCTCTCTCCCTCTTGTAAGGACACTTGGGATTACGTATAACGTCTACCCAGATAATCCAGGATAATTTCCACACCTCAAGATCTTTAAGTTAATAAATCGCAAAATTTCTTTTGTCATATAAAATAACATTCAAAGTTTCCAGGGATTAAGTTATGGACATCTCTGGTGGGAATGGGGGTGTCACACACAATTGGCCTATCATAAGCCCTAAGTGCAAATTAATGTTATTGCTATTATTTTCTTCAATATAGTAAGTTTTCTTTTTAAACTCACGTGTTCAAAGAATATGATGCTTTATCAAAGTAGTAATTCTCTAGGGAAAAAATCTTCAGGAGTCTGTGGATCCTTACAAATGGATGGGGCTCTATTCAAAGGATTTTATATTGAACCTAAAAAAAAATTTAATTCAATGAAGTCCTATTTCCCCTACTTCTCAGATTGTGGTTTCTAAATACCATTTTCCTCTAAAATGACCCAAACCTTCTTGGAGAAATAGCTGATTCCAGGTCCACGGTTGGAAATCTACAGGATGAGCCTGCAATATCTTTCTGTGAAAGTTAGAATGCCTTCAAAGATGCCTGAGGTCTCTTAAAAGGACCCAAGAGACAACTTGAAAAAGCTCCCACTGGCCAGTAATCCCAATGGATGGAAATACATCAAATATACATAAATTTGTGAATTTAAACTGATATTTTATTTTATTGTGACAGAGTTTCACTCTTGTCAGCTAGGCCGGAATGCAATGGCATGATCTCAGCTCACTGCAACCTCTGCCTCCTAGGCTCAAGCAATTCTCTTACCTCAGCCTCCCGAGTAGCTGGGATTACAGGAGTGCGCCACTACATCTGGCTAATTTTGTGTTTTTAGTAGAGACAGTGTTTCACCATGTTGGCCAGGCTGGTCTCAAACTCATAACCTCAGGTGATCTGCCCGTCTCAGCCTCCCAAAGTGTGGGATTACAGGCGTGAGCCACTGCGCAGGCCTAAACTGCTATGTTAAAAAGACCTTCCTTGTTACCTTTGAAGAATGCTGGGGAATCAATTTACTATTTAGAATTTGGTAGATAAAGGGAAAGAAAGAAGAATTTATCCTACTTTTCTTGGGTGAACTATATCCCAGAGTAATCAAGTAGTTGATGACAGCAAGTTTCTTTTTGTAGAATTATTTCAGCTGATAAAAGATGAAGGAATTCTGGAATTAGAAAAATCAAGGTAACCCCTAATTAATTACAGGATTCTGCAACGCCTAATGGATTAATGGGTCTAGATAATGTTGATTCATGGCTGCTAATATCACAAAAACTAAAATAACCAGGCATAGGTGCCTCCTGGTAGAACTACACACCCACAAACCATTACCTATAAAACATCCCTCACACCTGTAATCCCAGCACTTTGGGAGGCCAAGGTGGGCAGATCACAAAATCAAGAGATCAAGACCATCCTGGCTAACACAGTGAAACCCCATCTCTACTAAAAATACAAAAAATTAGCCGGGTGTGGTGGCACCCGCCTGTAGTCCTAGCTACTCAGGAGGCTGAGGCAGGAGAATCACTTGAATCTGGAAGGCGGAGCTTGCAGTGAGCCGAGATTGTGCCACTGCACTCCAGCCTGGGTGACAGAGCGAGACCCCATCTCAAAAACAAACAAACAAACAAAAAAAAAAACCACCAAAATGAATCTAATCAAAACTCTAGACCTAATAACCATATATATACAGGAAGTACAGGGGAGAAACAATACTAGATAGGTGCAATTTATAAAATTCATATGTGAAATATTCTACTGAACTAAATTGCAAGAAAAAAAGAGATGGAGGGGCAATTTATAAATTAAAAGAGATTCAATGACCAATCAATCACAAGGTTTAAATTCTAGTGCATCATTGTTCAAAAAACTGTAAAAATTGAACAATAAGAAAAATTGGACTCTGACCAGATAGTTGATGATGTTAAGGAATTGTGATTCATTTATTTAAGAGGTTTTTTTTTTGTTTTTTGGTTTTGGTTTTGGTTTCTTTTCAGACAGAGTCTCACTGTGTCATCCTGGCTGGAGTGCAGTGGTTCGATCTCTGCTCACTGCAGACTTCGCCTCCTGGGTTTAAGCTATTCTCCTGCCTCAGCCTCCCTAGTATCTGGGATTACAGGTGTGCACCACCACACCCAGCTAATCTTTTGTATTTTTAGTAGAGATGGGGTTTCACTATGTTGGACAGGCTGGTCTGCAACTCCTGGCCTCAAGTGATCCTCCCACCTCAGCCTCCCAAAGTGCTGGGATTGCAGGCGTGAGCCACTGAGCCTCGCCTTAAAAGACTATTTTTTAAGGGCAGTTCTAGGTTCACAGCAAGATCCAAAAAAAGGTACAGAGATTTCCCATATCCCCACCCGTCTCCACACAATCACAGCCTAGTCTATTATCAACACCTCCCACCAGAGTGGTACATTTCTTACAACTGATGAACCTACATGGACACATCATAATCCCCCAAAGCCCCTAGTTGACTTCAGGGTTCACTCTTAGTATTGTAAATTATATGGGTTTGCACTAACGTATAATGACATGTATCTACCATTATGGTATCATCCAGTGTATTTCCACTGCCTTAAACACTCTGTGCTCTTCCTATTCATCCCTGCCCCACACCCAGCCCCTGGCAACCACTGAGGTTTTATTGTCTCTATTGTTTTGCCTTTTCCAGAATGTCATGTAGTTGGAATCATGTAGTATGTAGAGCTTTCAAATTGGCTTCTTTCTCTTAGAAGTATGCATCAAAGTTTCCTCCATGCCTATTCATAGCTTGATAGCTCATTTCTTTTTAGAACTGAATAATATTCTATTGTCTGCATGTGCCACAGCTTATCCATTCACTTACTGAAGAAAATCCTTGTTGCTTCCAAGGCTTGGCAGCACGAATAAAGCTGCTATAAACACTTGTGTGCAGGCTTTTGTGTTTTCAGTTCATTTGGGTAAATATGAAGGAACACAACTGCTGAATCATATGACAAGAATACATTTAGTTTCTTAAGACACCACCAAACTGCCTTCCAAAGTAGCTGTAGCAATTTGCAATGGTATGGAGAGTTCTGTTGCTCCACATCCTGGCCAACATTGGGAGTTGCCAGTGTTCTGGGTCATTCTAATTGGGTGGATTGCCTGAGGTCAGGAGTTCGAGACCAGCCTGGCCAACATGGCCGAACCCCATCTGTACTAAAAGTACAAAAATTAGCCTGGCGTGGTGGTGTGTGACTGTAATACCAGCTACTCTGGAGGCTGAGGCAAGAGAATCACTTGAACCCAGGGGGCAGAGTTTGCAGTGAGCTGAGATCGCGACACTTCACTCCAGCCTGGCGTAAGAGCGAAACTCCATCGCAAAAAAAAAAAAAAAGGATTAAAAAATTAAAAATATTTGAAACAATAACATGCTTATTAAGTGTAAAGATCTTCCAACTAAAGAGTTAACTGTCTCTCAAGAGTTACACCATTCTCTCAGTAAACCAGACTCAACACCTTGCAGTCATCATTGATGTATCTTGTGTGCTATTTTGGTTAAATATTTTTTAAGTGGTTACTGTGTGCATGGCACTGAGGATACAGAGGGAATAAACACACTCTTGTTGGTGAAGGAGTAAGCCTAGTGGGTGGGAGAGATGGATCAACAAAAATATCTGGCACTCATTTGACTCAAACGCTTATGGGGAGATGTTGATCAAACGGTATAGAATTTCAGTTATAAGATGAATAAATTTGGCTGGGTGCAGTGATGCACACCTGTTATCCCAGCACTTTGGGAGGCTGAGGTGGGAGGATTACTTGAGGCACAGAATTCAGATCAGCCTGGGCAATGTAGCAAGACCCTGTCTCTACAGAAAATTTTAAAATTAGCTGGGTGTAGTGGCAAGTGCCTGTGGTCCTAGCTACTCAGGAGGCTGAGGCAGGAGAATCACTTGAGTCCAGCAGTTAGAGGTTACAGTGAGTGGCGATCAAACCACTGCACTCTAGACTGGATAACAGAGTGACATCCTGTCTCAAAAAAAAAAAAATTAAGTTCTGGGGATATAATGTACAACATGGGTGGCAATGGATGTGTACGGCATGGGCGGCTCTATCCCAATGCAGGATTTACTTTCAAACACTGAGGGTTCTGCCACTCTTTTTTTTTTTTTTTTTGAGGTGGAGTCTCACTCTGTTGCCCAGGCTAGAGTGCAGTGGCACAATCTCAGCTCACTGCAACCTCCGCCTCCTGGGTTCAAGCGATTCTCCTGACTCAGCCTCCTGAGTAGCTGGGATTACAGGTGCACACCACCACGCCTGGCTAATTTTTGTATTTTTAGTAGAGATGGGGTTTCACCATGTTGGTCAGACTGGTCTCAAACTCCTGACCTCATGATCTGCCCACGTCGGGCTTCCAAAATGCTGAGATTACAGGCGTGAGCCACTGTGCCCAGCCGGTTCTGCCACTTTTACAAAGATATACACCTTGTCATAATCTATAAAGGAATTTACAAATGTACATACAATGGAAAACGTAATAATAGTACATCTATGGAATTACTTGAGGTAGTAGGAGATAGAAAGATATTATTCAAAGGATATTATTACTCAAACTTGACTTCAAAAAGAAGCCTAAGGACATAATTTAATGGGGAGTAACTAATTAGTGTAGGCTTTATTTTGGGGATGATGAAAATGTTCTAAAACATAGTGGTGTTCATTGCACAACCCTGTGAATATATTAAAAACATTGAATTGTAAAAAAAAAAAAAAGGTTATAATTTAATATGCCTAGGATCTGTTTATACCCAACAAATACCAGAGAAGGGAAAAGCACTCGGTAGACTGAGCCAAGGTGTTTCTGTAATGAGGCTTACTCATGTTTGTTACCAAGAAACTCATGATTTTGAAAATATCAAAATGTCATAATTTGTTTATAAAGCATTGCTTTTGGAAAAAAAAAATGGATTGCATCATGCAACCAGTTATAAAGTTTTCTACCTGGTAAAATGTCTTCCTGTTTTCTCCTCCCACTCTGCCTCATCTAAAGGAGTGGAGCAACAGAGGTGTTTTCAGCAAATCATCACCTAATTAGGGCAAATTATACGACTTCCATTTCTTTTTCCTTTCTTTCTTTCTTTTTTTTTTTTTTTTTTTGAAACGGAGTTTCACTCTGTCGCCCAGGCTGGAGTGCATTGGTATGATCTTGGCTCACTACAACTTCCGACCCTGGGCTCAAGTGATTCCTCTGCCTCAGCCTTCCGAGTAGCTGGGATTACAGGCATGTGCCAACACACCGGCTTTCTGTATTTTTAGTAGAGGCAGGGTTTTGACATATTGGCCAGGCTGGTCTCGAACTACTGACCTCAAATGATCTGCCCGCCTCAGCCTCCCAAATTACTGGGATTACAGGTGTGAGCCACTGCAGCCAGCCGACCCCCTTTTTTTCTTTTTTTTTTTTTTGAGATGGAGTTTCACTCTGTTGCCCAGGCTGGAGCGCGGTGGTGCAATCTCAGCTCACCACAACCTCCGCCTCCCGGGTTCAAGCGATTCTCCTGCCTCAGCCTCCCTGGTAGCTGGGACTACAGGCATGTGCCGCCATGCCTGACTAATTTTTGTATTTTTAGTAGAGACGGGGTTTCACTATGTTGCCCAGGCTGGTCTCCAACTCCTGGCCTCAAGTGTTCTGCCTGCCTTGGCCTTCCAAAGTGTTGGGATTACGGTGTGAGCCACCACGCCTGGCCAGGGCTTCACTTTCTTTTAGGGAGTCCAAATGCCCCTATTCTCCATCCCTCTCTAGCTTCTTCTTCTTGCATTGGATCATATCTTCATGTACCTGGGTTTTCTTTGAGTGGGTATGTTTTCCTTTCCTGGAGGTACTGCATCTCTCCAGACTAATCTCCCCCGAAGTTGGTTTTCTCTCATTTCTGTAAAAGTTCCTTAGTTCTTTGTACAGTGGGGCGATGAAATAGGCATTTACTAAACTAAGGTATCGTTGGGTTTGATTCTTCTAGGGAGATAGGAATGGGGTTGTTCCTCTGCTTCTCTCCTTTATTCTGTGGGCTTCTCTAAAACCACATTCCCAAACACAGCACAGCTGAAATAACAACAGCACCAGCTTGCATTTTTACAGTACCATATACTTTTCAAAGTGTTTTCACATCTCTTATCTCATTTATTTCTCACCAAAGTCCTAGGAGGTAAGCAGAGCAGATATGGTTCATCTTCTTTGATAGATGGTAAAACAGAGGAAGAGAGAGGTTAAGTGACTTGTCCAGTCTCTCACCACTCCAGTACATCTGCCAGAATTATCTTCCTCAAAATAAATATAAACATGTCATTCCCCTGCATAAAATCATCAACAGGATTCTGGCTGTCTACAGGGTAAAGTGCAAACTCCTTAGCGGGACACGTGAGTCCCTCCGCATCCTGGCCCCTGATCCTCGCCAGTTTCATCTTCCATGACTTCACGCAGCCCTTCGCACTCCCCCGGCCTCACAGAGCTCCCACCAGCACCCCCGCATCATCAACTCTCAAGACTGCATGCTTTTGGACACGTGGCTTCTTCCTCTGCCTGGAACACCCTTTTGGGTTTAAACCTCCCACTACCACCTTCCGAACAAAGAAATTCCTGCTGAGTCCCCTACAGGTAGCAAATGAAACCTCCTTTACATTCTCCATTCAGACTTCCCCTCTGCTGGGTAAGTTGGCCCTTAATTGCAACTCCTACTTTGTTGCTTCCCCTGGCCCTGTTCTAGTTTTTTCTCCCATAGAAATTACTATCTTCTCACATACTATAGGATTTGCTTGTTTTATAAGTTTTCTTGTCTGTGTCCCTCTGCTAGAATGGAAACCCCACAAATAATGCAGGGCCCTTTGCTGGTCTTGCCCACCCGTGTATCAAAAGCATCTGGAATGGTATCTGACACATAAGACGTGTACAGTACATTCCAAAAACATTCATTAAGGAACTGCTGCTCTGACACTGATGCTACACTGGTGGAACACAGTCCCTTTGGCCTAGGAGAGAGAGAAGTGAATGAAATCATTGCAATACACAGGGTAATGGCAGGATAGAGGCATGATGGGAACCCAGCTAAGGAGCAGCGCAGGAAACAGGGGCTGGGGGCAGGGTGTAGATGAAAGCAGCAGACAGGAAACACTTAGGCTTCATCCAGGGGGCCATATGTGAAGAGAGGCTTGACAACCACATATAAGTCAACCAACTTCAGAAAGAGATGGGGAGAGGCCAGGCGCGGTGGCTCATGCCTGTAATCCCAGCACTTTGGGAGGCTGAGGCGGGTGGATCACAAGGTCAGGAGATCGAAACCACTCTGGCTAACACGGTGAAACCCTGCCTCTACTAAAAATACAAAAAATTAGCTAGGCATGGTGGCGGGTGCCTGTAGTCCCAGCTACTCGGGAGGCTGAGGCAGGAGAATGGCGTGAACCCGGGAGGCGAAGCTTGCAGTGGGCGGAGATCGCGCCACTGCACTCCAGCCTGGTGACAAAGCAAGACTCCATCTCAAAAAAAAAAAAAAAGAGAGAGAGAGAGAGAGAGATGGGGAGAATCTTTGCATTTGAGGAATTACAAGTAATTTTTAATAGCATCATTAGGTTGTATATGGGAGTAGGAGATAAAACCAAAGAAGTGACATGTTTTTATCATTAAGGAAAAGGGAAAGAAAACTCCTAAGCAAGAAGGACTGTGTGTTTGCCTCAGATTCAAGTGTAATTGCATTGTTTCTACCTCCAAAACAACTGTGCTTTACAACACACTTTCTCTGTAATGAAAAACTGCCAGATATTGGGAGACCGAGGTGGGTGGATCACCTGAGGTCAGGAGTTCGAGACCAGCCTGGCCAACATGGTGAAACCCCATCTCTACTAAAAATGCAAAAATTAGCCGGGTGTGGTGGTGGGAACCTGTAATCCCACCTACTCCAGAGGCTGAGGCAGGAGAATCGCTTGTACCCAGGAGGTAGAGGTTGCAGTGAGCGGAGATTGTGCCACTGCACTCCAGCCTGGGCAACAAAAGCAAAACTCCATCTCAAAAAAAGAAAAAAGAAAGAAAGAAAAACTGCCAGATAAGATTAATTCTGATGTTAATAGTTTGGAGAGGGAAACCGTCTGGATAGGGGCATTTCATCTTGATCTCCGGAGACTTTAGAAGAAAATCCTAGAGCGCATATCTTGAAATATTAATCCTGCTTGTTCATGGAGCTTCTGGATCAGCAGAAATTTGATATATTTTGCCTTACTAAGGCCCCTTCTTTTGCCTTTTTTAGTTTGAAAAGAACTTTCATAGCTAGAGATCTACTGAGTTAGAGATGAACTGTGGTATTTGGCTTGATTTCAAGAAGGTAATATTTTTATTCTTTGATTGGCCCAATATTTTTAAGCCATCTCACGAATATCAAGCACTGTGCTAGGCCCCTTGCTATAAGGGTGAATAACACAGGGGCACTGCTGTTAAGGGCTCATAGGCTGGCAGGGAGAGGCATGCCGTAGAGATCAATTCAGAGGGCAGATAAAACAGGGAGTGCTTCATTCCCCTGGGGAGAGGGAGAGAGGGAAGTGGGCATAAAAGGTGTTCTAGAGCAGCATGCTTAATCTGAGTCTTGAAAGTTATTGTGCATACATCAGTGGACATTGGACAGTGAACGTCACAGTAAAGAAAGAAGTGCAAGCAAAGGCTTGAGGATCCGAACAGGCTGCTGCATTTGGGGAAGTACAAACAGTTCAACGTGTATGTGTGTGTTTGTGTGTGTGTAGGCATTGAGGCACGTGAGTGCTGTATACACTATGGTAAGCAGTTGGGATTGTATTCAATAGGCCAGTGTTTCTCAAATTTAAATCCAAGAAACACCTGCATCAGGCTCTTTTAGAGCTGCCTCCTTAACAGTGCCACCATGCCCAGCTAATTAAAAAAAAAAATTCTGTAGAGACAGCATCTCACTACGTTGTCCAGGCTGGTCTCAAATTCCTAGGCCCAAGCGATCTGCCCGCCTTGGCCTCTCAAAGTGCTGGGATTATAGGCATGAGCCACCATGCCCAGCCAGGGATTTTTTTTTTTTTTTTTTTTTGAGACAGAGTCTCACTCTGTTCTGTTCCCCAGGCTGGAGCGCAGTGGCACAATCTTGGCTCACTGCAATCTCTGCCTCCCAGGTTCAAGTGATTCTCCTGCCTCTCAGCCTCCCGAGTAGCTGGGATTACAGGTGGCTGCCACCACACCAGGCTAATTTTTGTATTTTTAGTACAGATGGATTTCACCATGTTGGCTAGGCTGGTCTCGAACTCCTGACCTCAAGGGATCCACCCACCTCGGCCTCCCAAAGTGCTGGGATTACAGGCGTGAGCCACCACGCCTAGCCTTCTATCCTTAAACTTTTTTTTTTTTTTGAGACGGAATCTCGCTCTGTCACCAGTCTGGAGTGCAGTGGCACGATCTCGGCTCACTGCAACCTCCGACTCCCTGGTTCAAGTGATTCTCCTACCTCAGCCTCCCAAGTAGCTGGGATTACAGGCACCCGCCACCACGCCCAGCTAATTTTTGTATTTTTAGTAGAGATGGAGTTTCACCATGTTGGCCAGGATGGTCTCGATTTCCTCACCTCATGATCCGCCTGCCTTGGCCTCCCAAAGTGCTGGGATTACAGGCGTGTGCCACTGCACCTGGCCTATACTTAAATTTAATAACAACACAGGAACAATCACAAGAAAATTATCCCATCTAACATAATGCAAGCATGCCTCATACAAATAAAACACGCTCACTCTCTGTCTAAAAGGGAGACAATCTTAAAAAAAAAAAAACAACTCATCCAAATATTGCATCTGGCTCATAATCTTAGTGAACGATGTGCAGATCCAGATGTGTTTCCTCAGGGCATAGTGAACTTAACACTAAAAGATAAGGTAACTGTCTCCAATACACTGACTGGATAAGAGGAAGGAGCAGGAAGGAGTCACAGCTGCAAGTGAGAACAAGACACTGGGAAACGCATGGCAGTCGCAGCAATTCTCAAACCATGGCTTTTGGCAGAGAGAATGAGGAATCCTTGCCTTGGTGGTGATAAGATCTTGGTTAGTATATTAGGCTGTTTTTGCATTGCTATAAAGAAATACCTGAGATGGGGTATTTCTAAAGAACACAGGTTGAACTGGTTCACAGCTCTGCAGGCTGTACAGGCATGGCACTAACATGTGCTCTGCTTCTGGTGAGGGCCTCAGGAAGCCTTCAGTCATGGTGGAAGGTGAAGTGGGAGCAGGCATGTCACACGGTGAGAGCAAGAACAAGAGAAAGGAAGAAGGGGCAATCTCACGCTTTTACACAACCAGATCTCGTGTAAACTAATGGAGCAAGAATTCAATGATCACCAAGGGGATGGTCCTAAACCATTCACGAGGGATCCACCCCATGATTCAATCATCTCCCTCCAGGCCCCACCTCCAACACTGAGGATTACATTTCAACATGAGATCTGTAGCAGACAAAGATCCAAACCCTATCAGTTAGCATGTCTGGTAGCCCCTGGTTCTGCCCTCTGAAGGAATCCTGGGAGTTCATTATTATCCATGACCTCATCTGATAAGAGCTTTGGAAAGGATGCCTTTCCCAGGGGCGTCACAGAGCCTTCACAGCCTACTTCTAATTAGTGTGAGTTTAGGGGCCTGGAGTGGCCTTAGGTGTTGAAAAACCAAAGGCTGTTGCCCAGCAAATCTGGAGTTTCCTTGCTAATATGCTGCAGAGAGACAATTTTCCATGGGTCTCTTGTATCTCTATATATCTTGAAATCAGAATCACTATTTTTTGTTTCGGACTATGTTTTCAAGGATGTTTGTACAGCAGACAGCCTAGGATGATAGAGATGTTTTCATACCGAGCAAAGGGCAGGCAAACTTACTGGTCATCATAAAATATTTGGGTTCCCTAAGCTTGTGGCTCCTTATCTGTAATGCAGCCTACAGTGTGTGTGGACACATGTCTGGGCACATCCACATAGCCCCTGTGGGACTTGGAGATTAGGGAAACTGATGCAGTGTACTGTTGTTCTTTGTTGCTTGCTCTGCTGTAATAAAGCCCTTTGTCTCTGATCCATGGATCTTTCGTCTTCTACCAACATCCATTAAAAATCAGCCTCGGCCAGGCACGGTGGCTCATGCCTGTAATCCCAGCACTTTGGGAGGCCAAGGCGGCGGATCACCTGATGTCAGGAGTTCCAGACCAGCGAGGCCAACATGGTGAAACCCCATCTCTACTAAAAATACAAGAATTACCGGGGCGTGGTGGCGCACACCTGTAGTGCCAGCTACTCCGGAGGCTAAGGCAGGAGACCGCTTGAACCCAGGAGGAGGAGGTTGCAGTGAGTCAAGATCATGCCACTGCACTCCAGCCTGGGCAACAGAATGAGACTCTGTCTCAAAAAAAAATAAAAAATGTGCAAAGCTTCCTGTAAGCTTCACGCAGCACTAGCCATAGCCAAAGATCTTTCCTAGAGTCTTTAAGTCTTTTCTTCTACCTACCAGACAACGTGTTCTGCATTCCTCTTGCCCTTAGATTAACAGTTTTTGGGGCAATTTGAAACCATAGGCCCTGGTGGGAAAAGATGTTTAATCTAATTGTTATTAGTAGGTTCAGATGTATTCTGGCTGAGAACTCCTACAGGGAGATTCTTTAGAAAGGCCTGAAGCCCTGTTTTTATTCACTTGCTGCAGCTAGCCTTGCCAATTTCAGGCAGGGGCCATAAACTGGCATTTCAACCTACAGGGCTCTAGAGCAAGGAGTTCTCAGTCAGTTGAGATTGGAGGCTCTAGGCAGAGTGGCTCTCACCCTAGCGTATTACTAACCATCTCTGCTTACAAAGTAGCTTTTTACCCCTATCCTTTGGGACTTTGCTGAAAGTGGCAAGAAGTAACCAGGATCTGTCAACATAAATTATATCTACTTTTTCCCCTGACAGCAACATAAAACATCATGGTTTATGTTCTGAGAAACAAAAGGAGACAGGTTTCCATGAAGAATGTTCTGATGTCATATAACAAGGCTCTTTCTAGCCTGTGAAATCCTTGTGCTCATTGTCAAAGCCTGACTTCTTTCACTAAGCCAATGCCAAATTTTAGGTTCTATTACTTAAAGCACTCCACTTCTGGTGCCACATCTGTTGTCCATAACAAAACAAAATTGACATATAGTGGCTTAGGCAAATAAGGTGTACTTTCCTTGCAAAACGAGAAATCTAGAGGTAAATTCCACAAGGCTGAAAAGGTAGTTCTGTAATGAACAGATCCAGGTTCCTTGTAGCTTTCTAGGTGATCCTTTAGCATGCAGAATGCAGCCTCCTCAGCGTGTTACCACCAGGCTGCAAAATGGCTGCCCCACCTCCAGCTCCACGTCTACATCCAAGGTAGGAAGAAGGGGAAAGGCAAAAGGGTAAAGCCTCCTCCAAGTATACCTCCATTTAAAAGCTTAGCCAGGTGTGGTGGCTCACACCTGTAATCCCAGCACTTTGGGAGGCCAAGGTGGGGAGATCACCTGAGGTCAGGAGTCTGAGACCAGCCTGGCCAACATGATGAAACCCCTTCTCTACTAAAAATACAAAAATTAGCCGGGAGTGGTGGCGGGGCCTGTAATCCCAGCTACTGTAAGGCTGAGGCAGGAGAATCGCTTGAACCTGGGAAGTGGGGACTGCACTGAGCTGAGATTGCACCACTGCACTCTAGCCTGGGTGATAGGAGTGAGACCCTGTCACTACAACAACAAAAAAAGAGAAAAACTTTTAAATGATAGCCATTCTTGCTATTGTCTTTTTTTATAAAGTGTTATCTCACTGTGATTTTCATTTGCCTTTCCCTGATGGCTAATGAATGCTCTTTTTAAAAAAAAAAAAAACCTGAATGATGAGTACTTGCGTATGTTCACTGTGATAACTCACCAAATGGTAGGCTTATTATAATTTGTGCATCTGACTATAAGTTATACTTCAATACAAAAGTTTATTTTAAAAGTATATGTTTTACATAAAGAAGTCTTACATTCTATTTTTAAAGTGAAATCACCAAAAAGGAAAGAGACAAGAACAGCAGCTATTAAATGAGACAGACCTGAACAGGAATTGCTGGCCAATGCTCTGCATTTCTTAGTAGCAGAGGTGCCTAACTCCTCTGAGCCTCTATTGCTTCATCTTCACACACACACACATCCACACACACACCAAAACAACAAAACAACATTAGCTGGGTGTGGTGGCTCGCACCTGTAATTCCAGCACTTTGGGAGGCTGAGGCTGGTGGATCACTTGAGGTCAGGGGTTCAAGACCAGCCTGGCCACCATGGTGAAACCCTGTCTCTATTAAAAATACGAAAATTAGCTGGGCATGGTGGTGCGCGCCTATAATCCCAGCTACTTGGGAGGCTGAGGCAGGAGAATCGCTTGAACCGGGAGGTAGAGGTTGCAGTGAGGTGAGATTGCACCACTGCACTCCAGACTAGGCGACAGAGACTTCATCTCAACAACAACAAACTCTCACAGAGTTGTGGTTAGTATGGCGCCTACAGGAGCTCAAAATAATAAAGTTTTTTTCCCAAAAATATAAAAATTATTAGCTCATAAAATTACTCTTGCATTTGCATTGTTTGCAGTTGCTAAACCTTTTCCCTAGCGCATTAAGTTTTCTACTCTGGTATAGACAAGCCTTGCTGAAATCATTTTAAAAGCGTGAATGATGAATATGTCTTCCTCAGATTCAACAAATTTATGAATGTTTCAATAAATGCTTATATCACGTGAAGTGAGGAGGTTAACCTCATGAATTTTAATACGAAGACTAATGTAAAAATGAATGCTTTCTAATGGTCAAAGTGTTTGAGATTTAAGGTGCTGCATGAGTTCTACTGCTGGATCTACTGCTCAGGTGCAATATATTTCAGTAAGTCACCAATCAACTGCCTTAAATATCCTTTGTTTCACCTATAAAGTCAGTGCAATCATATGTTGCATCGCTAGTATACAATTTAATTATTAGCTATAAATCTCTGAGATCCTAAGATGGTAGCTTTGTAAATTCAATGTTACATTGCAACAGCATTAAGAGAGATTCCAAGATTCCCACCATCAATATGCATTATACAAATTTGTTAACTTGCACTAACATAAACCTTTTATTTACAAAATTATGACTTTAGACTTCAAACTTTTTTCTCTGTGTCAATCAAGATTAGTTTCGTCTGTATACAAGAAAAAAACAATATAATAGTGCATTAAACAAGATGGAGGTTTATTTTCCTCTTATGTAAAATAAATTCATGGGTAGGCCGTCATGGGCTGGCATCACACTCTCCTAATGTCATCAGGGATATGGGCTCCTTCCGTCTTTCCTCTCCACCACATGGCTTCCACCAAGGCCACGTCTTGGTTTTAGTTTGGTTGCTGTAGCACCCACCATCAAGTCCATGTTTTAGGCAAAAAAAAAAAAAAAAGTGGAGGGTGGCGGTGGGGGGCAAGGGCAAAAGAGTCAGTTCCAAGAAAGAGCTTTGCCAGAAGCTGCTCTCAAAATTTCCATCCACATCTCACCAGCTACACCTAGCTATAAGAAAGCTTATCAATTTCGTATCATAGAAGGGTGCATTGTGGCACCTACAACTACACCTTAGTTCTGCTGCTAAGGAATAAGAGGGCGGATGTCAGGTTGACAGTCTTTGCCATGCTTAAAAAAAATCTTTTCCATGGGTTCCTAGAATGTTGTGATCACTCATTTTGATTCAAAATTAAAATTTTTTTCATTCAAAATTAAAATTTAAAGCAATTTTCAAAGATTTGTCGCAAATCTATCTAGCGAGTTAACATTTAGAGTATCATTCACTAATACAACAAATACTTATTGCACCATCTATCAGGCACGTTGATAAAAAAGGGATGGGATGCAATAATGAACACATCCCCACTTTTTCAGAGCTCATAGTTCATCAACTCAGTAAAAGTATGATGTGCTAATATACTATAAATGACACCTATTTAGAATGGATTACCCTCTATACATAGTCTTAGTATTTAGGTAATCAACTACATATACTATTTTTTTTTTTCTGAGACAGTCTTGCTCTTGTCGTCCATGCTGGAGTGCAGTGGCGCGATCTCAGCTCACTGCAACCTCCCCCTCCCGGGTTCAAGCGATTCTCCTGCCTCAGCCTCCCAAGTAGCTGGGATTACAGGTACCCACCATCAAACCCAGCTAATTTTTGTATTCTTAGTGGAGATGGGGGCCAGGCTGGTCTTGATCGAACTCCTGACCTCAGGTGATCTGCCTGCCTCAGCCTCCCAAAGTGCTGAGATTACAGACATGAGCCACCGCACCTGGCCACATATACTATTTTAGCATAAAAATATACTTTCGTTTATCAGATGAATAATTGCCTCATTCTGAGATGCTGATACAGACTTGAAAACAAATTTTAGATATTACTGTCATGCAAAGCATTCTTGTAAAAAATATAACTTTGCTCCAATAATACAATTTCAAGCAAATATATTAATATGGCTCTTGCAAATAGAATACTTAAAAACATAGTTAAATCCACATTTTCCGGAATTTTTAATCAGAAAGGAGATAACAAAGGGAACATAGACAAATTAAACAATAAAGAAAAACTGTACATATTTGGTTGTATTTTTCAGGTAAAAATTAAACTAAGATAATACTGCCTTGCAGATGGTGGGGCTTTGTTCAACTCCCTGGTGATTCCTTTTCCTTTTTTTTTTTTTTTTTTGGAGTCTCACTCTGTCGCCCAAGCTGGAGTGCAGTGGCGTGATCTCAGCTCACTACAACCTCCACCTCCTGAGTTCAAGTGATTCTCCTGCCTCAGCCTACCAGGTCCCAGCTAATTTTTGTATTTTCAGTAGAGACAGGGTTTCACCATGTTGGCCAGACTGGCCTGGAACTCCTGGCCTCAAGTGATCCACCTGCCTTGGACTCCCAAAGTGCTGGGATTACAGGCATGAGCCACCGCACCAGCCAAGCTTTTAAAGAATTAAAGTTAGTTTTATTCAGAGGTCTTACCGAGGATTGCAACCCAGAGAGTCTTCCAGAGAGTTTCTGTTAAACTGCTCCAAAGCAGTGTTTCCGCACACAGTTTGTGTACATCAGTGGTGGCTCTGCCTGTGCTCAGAAGTTACATTAAATGTGCTCAGAAGTTACATTAGAGCGAAATCACATCATGGTTTGGGTGCCAGGGTCCATCTGGTTATAGATTATGGAGACATAATCATTATTGCTGTCAGACATGGGTGTGCATTATACCCATGCACATGAAGAGGCAGAGGCTAGGATCATTGAACTTATGTTTTCTAAAACTGCAGTGATTCAGGCAAGAGAATGGGGACCTGTGCTCTATCCTGTTTATCTTTAGGGTATTCTTCCAGAGGGTTGCCCTCACTCACTGAGTCAGGGGCTTTGCGAAATTCTCTGGCAAACAGAATGAGCAAACATTCCTTCTTAGGTTTGCTACTTTGTCTCACAAGATTCATCCTGACCTAGGTGAGGACAGGCATTTCCTACTCAAATGTTGCATTTCCCAAGACTACTCGGGCCTACCACACCTCCATCCTGTGTGTGTGTGTGTGTGTGTGTGTGTGTGTTTATTTTGAATGAATGAAAGTTTAAAGTTTTAAATAACTGAGGACAGGCATTTCCGCATTTCCTACTCAAATGTTGCATTTCCCAAGACTACTCGGGCCTACCACACCTCCATCGTGTGTGTGTGTGTGTGTGTGTGTGTGTGTGTGTGTGTGTGTTTATTTTGAATGAATGAAAGTTTAAAGTTTTAAATAACTGTCCATATCCTCTCTCAAGAATTTCCCTGGGTGTTCTTTTACTTCACAAGGATCACAGAATGAAAAAAAAAATAACAATAGTAAAAAAGAGACAAGTCTTTTAAATATTTGATAAAATGGTATTGTATTGTTGAGTTTGTATTCCTCGAACTTTGCAATAATAAGGCGAGGGGAGGAGCCCAGGGATTATTCCTTCAGAATCAACTGGTATTTCCTGATGATCTGCTGTGGGCTGGGCACTGAGGTGGGTGCGGAAATGCAGGGTGAACATGACACAGGTTCCCTGCCTTCAGTTTCACTTTCCACATTGTTAAGGCTATTCCATGCAAGAATGAATCCTTTCAAATTTAGTCTAGCCAGATGTTTTGTGTCCTCTATCCCCTCAACCTTGTTTTTTTCCTTTGCTTGGCATTTATTTTATATTGAAGTATAATTGTGGTATCAATAAACTGCACATTTTTGAACTGCACACTTTGAAAAATGTTATATATGTATACAATCATGACACAATCACAGTCAAAATAATGAACACATCCATAACCCCCAAAAACTTCCTCAAGCCCCTCTGTATCCATCTTTCCCCCCGCCTTACCCAATCCCTGCCCCCAGGCAACAGCAATCTATAATGCTGTCATTATAGTTTCTACTTTCTAGAGTTTTATATAAATGGAATCATACAGTATGATGATTAACTGAACAAAATTATTTTGAATTATTTTGGGATTGTCAACTAAAGAAAAAAAATCAAGCTTTTATTTTAAGAGATGGAGTCTCACTCACTTTGTCACCCAGGCTGAAGAGACTGAAAAAAAAAAAAGATTCATCTGTGTTTTTGCATGTATCAATAATTCATCCTTTTTTGTTGCACAGCAGTATTCCATTAAGCAGATGTATAACAATTTTTTGATCCACTTCATTCATCTATTGATGAACATTTGGGTTGTTTCCTTTTTTTTGGCTATTGAAAATAAAGTGTTAACTTTTTGGAAACTGTCTCCTGAAAAAGCTAAACATAAATTTACTAAATAAGCCACTGATTCCTCTCATAGGTACATACCTAAGAGAAATATACGTACACACAAAATCTTGTGCACTAACGTTCATGGAAACATTATTCATAATAGCCAAAAAATGGAGACAACCCAAGTGTCCACCAACTGATGAACAAATCAACACAATGTGGTATATCCATAACAATGCAATATTATAAGCAATAAATAGGAATATAGGAGGGATACATGGACGAACCTTGAAAACATTATGCTAAATGAAGTAAGTCTGACTTAGGCCACCGTGTATTTTGTGATTCCACTTACATGAAATGTCCAGAAAAGGCAAATTCATAGAGACAAAATGTAGTGTTTGCCAGGGGCTGGAGAGAGGTGGGGCCGGGGGTCTGGGGAGTGATTGCTGATGGGTAGTTTCTTTTGTAGGTGATGAAAATGTTCTAAAATTAAATAGTAGTGATGGTTGTGCAACTCTGAAAATACTAAAAACTACTGAATTGTGTATTTATTTTATGAGACGGAGTCTCGCTCTGTCGCCCAGGCTGGAATGCAGTGGCATGATCTGGGCTTACTGCAACCTCCTTCTCCCAGGTTGAAGTGATTCTCCTGCCTCAGCCTCCCGAGTAGCTGGGATTACAGGCGCGCACCACTATGCCCCGGTAATTTTTGTATTTTTAGTAGAGACGGGGTTTTGCCATGTTGCCCAGGCTGGTCTCCAGTTCCTGACCCCAAGTGATCCGCCCACCTCGGCCTCCCACAGTGCTGGGATTACAGGCGTGAGATCCACTGCGCCCAGCCAAAGCTGCTATTTTTTAAAAGCGGCAATGAACATTCTTGTACAAGTCTTTGTACGGACATACAGTTTGGGTAGAAGAATAGCTGGGTCATATGCTGGGTGGATACTGAACTTTTTCAGAAACTGCCGCTCCTCTGCAAAGTGACTGCACCATTTTATGTTCCCAACAGCAGTACAGGAGAGTTTCAGGTCTACACAAACCCATCCATACTTGGTAAGACCCAACAAGCTTAACATTTCAAGGGAAGGTGGACTTAGGGAGGCGCCAGCGGGAGGCAACATCAATGCAGTTAGCTACACGGGCCTGAAAACTGGAGGCCGCGACAAGCGTCGCTGAGTGGAGGCCCAGTAAGTCCCACCCACTAGGCCAGCCCGAGCGCGTCTGCCACGCCCTGCTGCATTCCGCGGCGAGAGCGCGCGATAGGATTGGCTCTCAAGGCCCCGCCCCAACAGGTCGCCGCTCAGGGTGACCCGGAAGCAGTTGCGCCAGCAGCGTCGCGCGGCCCAGTTCCCTTTTCCGGTCGGCGTGGTCTTGCGAGTGGAGTGTCCGCTGTGCCCGGGCCTGCACCATGAGCGTCCCGGCCTTCATCGACATCAGTGAAGAAGATCAGGTGTGCTTCGGTCTACGGGTGCCGCCACGGTGGGGTGGGGGATGTCCTAGTAGCGCAAGGGACCGCTGCCGAGCCTGGGCCGGGCGGCCGGGGCTGACACCCGCAGCTGTTCTACACGCGAGAATGGGGAGGCCGGTGGCTGGGGCGCGCGTTCCTGGCCTCGATTCGCACCAGCTCGCCGGCCGGCGGTCCCAGCGCGGGGCCCGACGCTTCACCGCCAGCTCCCTGGTCGGCGTCGGGACTCATTTCTGACGACATAGTACTTTTAGACTGATGAGGAATGATGTCTGCTTCCGTCCGTCAAATGCAGCCACATTCGGAGTGGGAGGTGGTGAATCTGTAGTTAGCATAAGCAGGGTAGGGAAAAGTAATTTTGTGCTAAAGATCAAAATGCCGGGCCGGGCGCGGTGGCTCACGCCTTTAATCCCAGCACTTTGGGACGCCGAGGCGGGCAGATCACGAGGTCAGGAGATCGAGACCATCCTGGCTAACACGGTGAAACCCTGTCTCTATTAAAAATACAAAAAAATTACCCGGGCGCGGTGGCACGCGCCTGTAGTCCCAGCTACTGCCGAGGCTGAGGCAAGAGAATCGCTTGAACCCGCGAGGCGGAGTTTGCAGTGAGCCAAGATCGCGCCACTGCACTCCAGCCTGGGCGACAGAGCGAGAGTCCCTCTCAAAAAAAAAAAAAAAAAAAAAGATCAAAACGCCCGTATTACTGTGCGATCACAGGCGAAGACGACCCGTATTTTACACTTGCTTTCTATTCCTACTTGTATGAGGGTGAGAGTTGTTCTGTACCCCGGAAGTATGGTATCAGTTCAGCTCTTAAATTCTGTGAGGCATACACCTGATGGACCATCCTGATATTTTTAAATTTCCCGTTTGGCGTTTGCTCTTTGGTATACAGGGCTGATGGTTCTCATTTTCCCCATAACAAAAGTTTAACCTTATTTGGTAGGAGTTGAACACGACATCGTATTCTTTAAGTTAATTTTGTATTGCTGAAAATTCTTCTGTGAAGTCCTAACTTTGTCGTTTTATTTCTGTTACTCCACTAACACGGAAGTAACTTCCAAATGATTGGATATCATAAACTTCGCATGGAAGTTTACTTGTCTAAGACAACTTACAGAATTGCGGGAGTGAGTTCCCCCTCTCTCCTCCCCCCGCCCCATGGTAGGAATGCAGTTCCGATGCTCTGAAGAGCAAAGTAAGAAGGGAAAATGCAAAAGGCGGAGAAAAGGTCAAGGATGGGGAGGTTAAGCACAGATAGGAAGATATGAAAGACAAAAAGATACCTGATTAGAAATGGAAGCATGTTACCAACAGTTGGCTGTTAGGTTAACTGAGAAAGTGTTTGGAATTTTTTTTTTTTTAACATACAAAGTGAATGGAGGAAGTTCTTGTCATTGATCGTATCTTAAAGTGTCTTTTCTCAGGCTCTGCTTCTGTTCTTGTAACATCAGTATCGCTGTAGACAGTCCTTTCAGGGAAATATGAAATTGCTCAGGATTAGTTTAACTTTGGTGAAATTCTCAGCTTGATTAGAGTTAAATGGAATTCTTTATCTTTTTTTGTTTTCCTTTGCTTATGCTGCTTCCACAACCACTTGTGGCAGTGAGGATGACAGAAAAACAGCAAACGTGGTTCAATAGTTCTTAGAAAAAGTTTGCTGTGTATCTGTTTCCTCCATAGAGAAGCATGAAGCATGATTTCTGGAGGTATTTTTGTTTTCTCTGACATGGTGACAGTTTGTTTTCTTTTTTTAATTTTGCTTATAATACCAACTCTTCTATGAAGTTACTGTGTTCTTGTTACCTGAAAGGATAGTACCGTCAGATCTGCAGGTTTAATACTTTCCTGAGGCAACTAAATATACTTGGGGGTTTAAAAATCTTGATGGCTTTGAATTTTTTTTTTTTGGCTTGGTCTAGAAAATGTAATGCCTGTGCATTTACTAATGGTATCCTTTCATATTCCTGTTGCACATCCTCATTTTATTATCTTTAAAACCAGGCTGAGCACGGTGGCTCACGCCTATAATCTTAGCACTTTGGGAGGCCGAGGCCCGTGGATCACCGGAGGTCAGGTGTTTGAGACCAGCCTGACGAACATGATGAAACCCTGCCTCTACTAAAAATACAAAATTAGCTGGGCATGGTGGCGCATGCCTGTAATCCCTGCTACTTGGGAGGCTGAGGCTGGAGAATCATTTGAACCCCGGAGGCAGAGGTTGCAGTGAGCCGGGATCGCTCCATTGCACTCATGCTATTGCACTCCAGCCTGGGCAATAAGAGTGAAACTCCATCTCAAAACAAAACAAAAAAAAACTGCGTTTGTTTGGCTGCCATAAAGAGTCCCAGAAGAAAAATGGAATAAATATATATAATTCGGTAGTAGGGTAGGAAATGTCCAAGTGACTGAATGTGCTATTGTAGTTGTGTTTTTATAGGTCCGAAGATGCATGCTGACTCAGATATGCATTTTTAATTTTAAGAGATTAGTTACATAACAGATCCAGTTCGATGTAATTTTAAGGCAGCATTCACCGCATTGCCCTTTTGTGAACCAAAATGCTTATCTCAAATAGCTTCTCAACTGATTAACAAATGATTACCCTTTTGCCAAGGTAATGTCTGTAACTTTTCTAGTAGCTGTGGTTATGTGTGTACTTGAGAGCAATACTATTGTTCATTTCTTTCAAAAAAATGAAATCTGCCAAGTCAGATTGATTTCTTCTCCCCAGCAACCACACCCCCACCAAACCCTTTGGGTTATATTATCAAAAAGATTTTTGCTGTATGCTGGAAGTCCAGCAGGGTGCAGACTACATGAGAGAAATTCTGAAGGTGATCCATGGGGGCTGTAGTGTGTCTAAGGAGCCACTGGACCTCATGGAGGAAAACCTGTGGCTCTTGTGGGATTGCCAAGATGGATGAGGTGAGGGAGGGGTCTTCAACATTATTTGAAATAGTTGTTGAATACAGTATTTCCGTTTTAGTTTTTCAGAAAGAGGACAGAATTTGAGATTGTGCTTTGTCATTCGTAGTCAGTTTTATAATAGAGCAATCCTCAACAGGCTGCTGAGCTTCGTGCTTATCTGAAATCTAAAGGAGCTGAGATTTCAGAAGAGAACTCGGAAGGTGGACTTCATGTTGATTTAGCTCAAATTATTGAAGCCTGTGATGTGTGTCTGAAGGAGGATGATAAAGGTTTGTTTTTAATTTTTTTCTAATATTTCCTAATAAAATCTTTTAAATTTTTCTTGTGAATTATAGAGTCGTCCCTCATTATCTGAGGCAAGGAGGATTTGGAACCCTCAGATACAGAAGGCTGACTGTATTTATATGTTTTGAATTTCAGACTACAGGACTTTTAAATAGATAGGTAGTGGTTGTATGTATTTTGGGGGCACAGGTGATATTTTGATACATGTATGCAATGTGTAATTATCAAATCAGGGTAATTGGAATATCACACATCTTTTCTTTATGTTGGAAACATTCAACAGTTCTCTTCTAGCTCTTTCAACTATACAATACATTGTTAACCAGAGTCTAAGCACTGTTGTTTTCAATCTTACCTTCACACATGCTTTCAGTTTGTGTAATCTATTATACCTATAAAGTAAACCTATTTTGAGAAAACCTTTATTTTATACATAGGTGTATTTCTTAAGTGTTATTACACTAAATGCTTATAGTCTTAGAATAAAATGAAAAAAATGAAGCTCTTTCCTGTTCATAAGTTTCAGATTAACATCAAATGGGATACAGTTTCAAGTAATCTAATAGCCATTTAATTATTAGGCCAGTTTCCTGTTTATTGAGATAGAATGGGAAATTTTCAGAATTGTTGAGTTCGGAAATCTCTAGTTAAGGTTTAGAGATCAAACTTGGATGCTGATTTCGGCAGCACATATACAAAAAAATTAGATTAAATTTGGGATATGATTAATATCTGTAATACTTAAAAATAACTAATTCAAGCAGAGAGCTGACAGCTTTAATTTCTGATTTCCTATATGTATACACAAAGTTTTCCTTAATTAAGAAAGTATCCTAGTCCTAAATCATACCAGTAACTTCCAAATGATTGAATATCATGACAGTGAAAATTGAAACTTTATATACATGTAAATCAGTCTCTGTTTTACTAGTTAGAAACCACATCATAGGCCAGGCATAGTGGCTCACGCCTGTAATCCCAGCACTTTGGGAGGCCGAGGCAGGTGGATCACATGGTCAAGAGTTCAAGACCAGCCTGGCCAATATGGTGAAACCCCGTCTCTACTAAAAATACAAAAATTAGCCGGGCGTGGTGGCGGGTGCCTGTAGTCCCAGCTACTTGGGAGGCTGAGACGGGAGAATCGCTTGAACCTGGGAGGCGGAGGTTGCAGTGAGCCGAGATCGCACCACTGCACCCCAGCCTGGGCAAGAGAGCAAGACTTCATCTGAAAAAAAAAAAAAAAAAAAAAAAGAAACCACATCTTAGGTATCAATTTCCTTCCTCTTTAATAAAATATACAAGTTGCTTTCTGAATGCGAAAGTGTCTTACATTTGATGGTCTTCATTGTATTAAAACACTGGAAATGCATATTTAACTAGACGCATTGAGTATTGTAGTATCACTGTTGATTGTGTTATCCATACTTGTGTAGATGTTGAAAGTGTGATGAACAGTGTGGTATCCCTACTCTTGATCCTGGAACCAGACAAGCAAGAAGCTTTGATTGAAAGCCTATGTGAAAAGCTGGTCAAATTTCGCGAAGGTGAACGCCCGTCTCTGAGACTGCAGTTGTAAGTTAAGATCTGAAAGAAACTCAGTTTTTCTAGGTGCTTTTTTCATGTTACTAACTTTTAATGGTGCAGAGCAGGAATTCTGGAACTTGACTCTCAGCTGTGGCTCATATTAGCTGTGACCTTGGGCAAGTGGCTTGACCTTTCTGTGCCCTAGTTTCCTCCTTTGTAATATGAAGTTGTTAACGGTACCTGCCACAGGTTTGTGGTGAGAGCTAACCTCAACTTAAAACTGGTTGCTGATTTCAAACATTGTTTATTTGTTTGTTAACCAACCAGGTTAAGCAACCTTTTCCACGGGATGGATAAGAATACTCCTGTAAGATACACAGTGTATTGCAGCCTTATTAAAGTGGCAGCATCTTGTGGGGCCATCCAGTACATCCCAACTGAGCTGGATCAAGTGAGTTACTGTGTGGAATAGTTGTTCTGCTTATAAGAAATGTACTTTTTTTTTTTTTGAGACGGAGTTTCACTGTTGTTGCCCAGGCTGGAGTGCAATGGCGCAATCTCAGCTCACCGCAACCTCCGCCTCCAGGGTTCAAGCAGTTCTCCTTCCTCTGCCTCCTGAGCAGCTGGGATTACAGGCATGCGCCACCACGCCCGGCTAATGTTGTATTTTTAGTAGAGACGGGGTTTCTCTATGTTGGTCAGGCTGGTCTCGAACTCCCGACTTCAGTTGATCCTCCTGCCTTGGCCTCCCAAAGTGCTGGGGATTATAGGCGTGAGCCACCACGCCCAGCCAGAAATGTACTTTTATATGTTATACTTTATATGTGTTACTCAGTTTTCTCCTTTTGTCAATCTCTTGTAGGTTAGAAAATGGATTTCTGACTGGAATCTCACCACTGAAAAAAAGCACACCCTTTTAAGACTACTTTATGAGGCACTTGTGGATTGTAAGAAGAGGTATTCAAAAGTAATGAACTAACATATCACTTAACAGACAGTATAAGTAGGTGGGGATGTTTTTTAAAGAGAAGTAGGGCCAGTAATTTTGCTTTACTCTGTTCTCCACAGAGTTGCTATAAATCTATTTCTATAAATTTGACCTAAAGTTAAAGATAACTATAAAGATTAAAAGTAGTTTTCCCTCATCTTTGAACTTTTTAAAAAGTGAAATTTGGCTTTTTTTCTAAAAAAAGAAAGGTGGGGCCTTTCCAACATGGGCTTCAACCTACTGCTGTAGCATGAGCTTGGTGAATGTGGTGAAGCATCTCATCATTTTTGGATGGTGCAGTGGCAGACTACAAAAAACTTTGTGTTAATGTAAATATTCCATCTCTCCACCCATGTCCTTCCTCTTGCTTATCACACTCTAGACCCAGCGAGCCTATGTCAGGTATAAAAGCACCATGCTCTTTGCCAGTCTGGACCAGGAGCTGGCACTGGTTCTTCTATAGCCCGTGTACTAAGAATGGTTTTAACATTTTTAAATGATTGAGAAAGAAAATCAAAGAAAGGGTAATATTTCATGATATGTGGACATTATATGAAATTCAGATTTCAGGGTCCATAACATTGGTATTACATCCATGCCTATTCATTTACATATTGTCTGTGCCTGCTTTTGCCAAGAGTTTAGTTACAACAGATACCATATAGCTTGCAAAGCTTAAAATATTTACTCTCTGGCCCTTTATAGAACGTTTGCCTACCCCTTGTCTAAGTAGTCTTACTATAGTCAGCTTCATGTCTCTGCCAGAAACACCCCTCTCATATTTCGGTTAGTGCCTCCCTTTTACAGCACCCTCTACTTGTATCCTAGCATTTAACACCCTTAGTTGAAAGTAAGGTTGTAGGCTAAGTGAAGGCAAGGAACCTCATCTGTAAACCATTGCATTCCCAAGAAGATAGCACTTATTGGGCACTGAGTGGATAAATGCTACCCACAGTAGGGAACTGGAAGGGGATACTTGTTTAAACACGACATTTCTGACATTCTGCCAATCTAAATGTTGAGAGTTGGTTTTCTTCTTTAGAACACATAAAATACATATTTTAATCAGTAAAATTCTGAGATTTTACCTAGCAGTTAAGTAAAAATGCTTCAAGTTTATGGGTGCCCCCTTCATGACTTTATTTATATTGGTGGTTGATGCACATGGTGTTTGTTGTGCTTTTTTTTTTTTATTTGAGATGGAGTCTTGCTCTGTCGCCCAGGCTGGAGTGCAGTGGCGCAATCTCAGCTCACTGCGAGCTCCACCTCCCGGGTTCATGCCATTCTCCTGCCTCAGCCTCCTGAGCAGCTGGGACCACAGTTGCCGCCGCCACGCCCGGCTAATTTTTTGTATTTTTAGTAGAGACAGAATTTCACCGTGTTAGTCAGGATGGTCTTGATCTCCTGACCCTGTGATCCTCCCGCCTCCGCCTCCCAAAGTGCTGGGATTACAGGCGTGAGCCACCGCACCAGGCCTGTTGTGCATTTTAAAGGGTGTTACTGGTAACTAAGCCCTTACATGTCAGACACCATGCTGTGTGCTTCAAGTGGATTAAAAAGATTTCTTTAGCTGAGAAGGTTGAAGTATACTGTAGTTGCTAAAACTGGAAAATGACTTGCACCTGTGCTTACAGTGTGGCACAAGATAACTAATGAGTAAGATGTGGTTTTTTAAAAGTTTTTCTTTGAATTTTTATAGTTAAGTCATTATACTTTTTAATTTTAATTTTTATTGCAAAGTTAAAAATTCCTTAGTTTTTTATTCCTGGTACCACTACACTACCATAATTTACAGGGTAACATGCCTGATGTAATGAAAAGAAAAAGGCAAAGGTACAACAGATAAAAGACCTCAGGAATGTACATCTAATTGACACTACACTGCATTAATCAATAGTGCACTTTTTGCAACCTGTAGCTATGACAGTCCTGAACAAGAAGGCTTTCCTGTTTAAGCTGCAGTAACTTTTCTGACTGTGGATCATCATTCCTCTGTGGCAGATTTTTACAGTTCCTCTAATGCATTTGGATGATTGCCTCAAAGTAACTTGCAGCTTTTCTGACTTCTCCTTGCTTGCACTCCTGCCAAAAACTGTAGCCCTTTTCTGCTGTTTTTAGAACCTTGTGCTACCATATTTACCACCATAGAGACTGCCCAAGCTTTATCCACCAAAACTGCCCCCTTTCATGCATGGGTCCATAATTTGGTTGTCATTGTCCACTGTAATATCCAAAATCATTATAGTTCCCACCACCACCGTAATTACCACTCCCCAAATTACCTTCTTCATTGTAACCATCATATCCTCCACTGCTGCCACCATATCTACCACCACCATACCCGCCTCTACTATCAAAACCAGGACAACTGCGGTAGTTGCCACCATCACCTTCAAATCCATTATATCCAGCAACCCCTCCTCCATAACTACTTCTGCTGCCACCACCCCAGCACCATATCCTCCTCTTCCACCAGAGTTTCTACCCATGGCCAAAACTACCATCTCCAAAGTTTCCTCCACAACCCATAAAGTTGCTAGATCCACTCCACAACTGCATCTGTTGTTTAAAAAGGGCCCTTTTCACTTCACTAACGCCTGTTAATAGAGTGTTATTTCTGAACCACAATTTTATCATGATCATCAAAAGTTACAAAAGCAAATCCTCTCTTTTTTCCACTCTGCCAGTCCTCCTGTAACTTCTGTGGTTTCAATCTTGCGATACTTTTCAAAGTAGTCTCTCAAATTATGTTCTTCTGTATCTTCTTTAACATCACCAACAAAAATTTTCTTCACTGTTGGATGGGCACTGGGCTTTACAGAACTCTCTCTAGAAACAGCTGTCTTTGGTTCCATTGCACTCCTCAGCCTTGTGTGGTTGAGCACACATTGCTGCATCCACCTCTTCAACACAAGAGTAAGTCACAAAACCAGAGTTTGTGGAACATTTTGTTTGGGGGTCTCTGATTACCACACAACCTGTGAGTGTGCTCCATTTCTTAAAATGTTCTCTAAAACTACCATCTCTAGTTTCAAAGCTCAGACCACCAATAAACAGTTTTTTTTAGCTGCTCTGGCTCCTTTGGATCATGGCCTCTTCCAGGTTGAGTTCAGTATTAATTTTTTATTTTTAGAGACAGGGTCTGACCATGTTGCCCACACTGGAGTACAGTGGGTATTTGGCTGTTCACAGGTGCAATTGTAGTGCATTACAGCCTTGAATTCCTGGGCTCAAGCAAGCCTCCTTAGTAGGTGGGACTATTGGCATGCGCCACTGTGCCTAGGCATTTATATCACTACATTTAAGATGCGGGTTACCACTTAGCCATGCCTACAGTGGTATTTCTGAATCTTAGTAAACCTTAGTTTTGAAAGAAGTTTTAGATAGCATTTACCATTTTAAAATAAATGATACAGTTCCTGCTGATTTTGCCCAGGCTAAACTCAGATGTGGGGAGTAAGTATTTTTAGAAAATGAAAAAAGGAAAAGAAAAACCTCTTCCTCCTAGTTAGCAAAGCTTTCTATAAGCTGAAGATTCCACAGTTTAAAGAAGTCATGAGGAGTAAAGATAAACATTTTCTAAAAGTCCAGTTTGAATGACTGCATTTATTTATTTTGCCCTATTTACTCCAGTGAAACTGATGTATATAACTGTAAGAATAATTTAATTGGAAGGGTATCTTAAGTAGAGTTATTTAAATATTTGGTATTGTCTCAACTTCAGCCATACTGTCCTAACAGTTTCTGGGACACAAAACTTTTTTTGCGCCTAGGGCCTTTATACTTGGTTTTCCCTCTGCTTGGAAAGTCATCTTACCCCACCTTTCATGAACCCAGCTCTTTTCATGGCCAAGAAAAGGATATTTTACATCATTTTGGTCTCAGCTTACTTGCCATCTCTTCTGAGGGAGACTGCTTTCCCACTGTACATAAAGCGGCCTTTCCGTTTTCTGCCCTTGTTGCTTTGATTAAATCACCATTTATTTCCTTCATAGCACTTATTAGTTACTTTTCCTTAGTTGTCCATCTTTCCTACTAAAAGGAAGGTTTTATGACTTTTCCCATAGACAGGGACTTTGTCTCTCTTAGTCACCGTTATAATGTCATCAGCACAGTACCTGCCTCTTAAAAATATTTTAAATGAATGAATAGCAGTAATGCTTTCAAGTTCCTAAAGCAATATTTCTTTTTAGTGATGCTGCTTCAAAAGTCATGGTGGAATTGCTCGGAAGTTACACAGAGGACAATGCTTCCCAGGCTCGAGTTGATGCCCACAGGTAATGTTAAACGTTACTCTGATGAGGGTTTGACAGCGATGTAGAGGTAAGCTACAATATTAAATTAAGTAACTGAAATCATGTTTGCAACTACCAGTGATCCAGAGCCATTTGATAGTGTGTATTTCCTGGTGATTCTAATGTAGATACTAAAATTCAAGGTTTGATATTGGAAGAACTGTGGATTGAATATGAAGTAGCTGCATGGCGTTTACCTGGCGGGGGGGGTATTGCTGGTATGGGGATGATGATCCCAACCCAAGAATTAGAACCTAATCTTGGGCCAATTGACCCTAATTTTAAGGTTATAGGTGGAAAGTTGATGGCTTGCCAAAAATTAACCCATTGCTAATGAGTATAAGGGCTTTTAACAGTCTTAGATCTAACTGGTAACAAGAATAGAATCAGTTTTCTAAATCTATGTAATAAGGATTATGAAACTTCTTTTTTTGGTCATTGCTTTGTGTGGACCTCTACATGATAGGAGTTGGTAAAAAGGGAAGTTGGTGGTAAAGATCCTTGACTTTGAGGTCAGGCTGCCTCCATTCACATTCTTACTCCACCTCTTAATGAGCACTTCTGAACTGCTTCATAGTTGATAAAGGGGGCAGAGTAATACTGTTTGTCTCCTAGGTTGTTGTGAGGAATAAATGAGATGTAAGGCAAGTGAAGCACTTAGTGTCTTGGCATGTGGTTCTGCTGCTGCTTACTATTTGATTACCTTGGTGCTTTCTCTCCAGCTATGTTTTTATCTACAATTAATATATTTCATTTTGTTAAAACAGATGAACCTGATAAATGTGTTGGCCTGTCTTAACCCAATCCTGTAGCTTTTTTAATGTTGTTTATATGTTTTGGACTGTTAGATATTTTGCCGAATTAAGTATATTTTATGATCTGCAAAAACTCAATGAAAAGCCAGGATTTCAAAACCCTGAGCTTACATTTTTGTTCTCTAATTAAGGTGTATTGTACGAGCATTGAAAGATCCAAATGCATTTCTTTTTGACCACCTTCTTACTTTAAAACCAGTCAAGTTTTTGGAAGGCGAGCTTATTCATGATGTAAGTAGTTTATCCTTTAATGTGAAAAATGTTCTCCTTTCCTAAATTTTACATACTGAAGCAGGACTCTTTTTCTTTGCATTAATAAAAGTGACTAATGGCAAGATATGGAAAGATTAAGAACTATGTATTCTTTTTATATCAGGAACAGACATATTTAGGACCAGCTTTTCTTCATCCACTGAGCAGAGTCCTATTCTTCCTCCCTTTCTTAATTTCTTTTTTTTTTTTGAGACTGAGTCTCACTCTGTCACCAGGCTGGAGTGCGGTGGCATGATCTTGGCTCACTGCAACCTCTGCCTCCCTGATTTAAGCAATTCTCCTGCCTCAGCTTCCAGGAGAAGTAGCTGGGATTACAGGCACATGCCATCAGGCCCAGCTAATTTTTGTATTTTTAGTAGATACAGAGTTTTGCCATGTTGGTCTGGTCTCCGACTCCTGACCCCCCTGACCCCAAATGATCTGCCCACTTCGGCCTCCCAGAGTGCTGGGATTACAGGCGTGAGCCACTGTGCCCGGCTACCTCCCTTTCTTTCATCTTCTCACTTACTCATCATTATAGACTTAGATAATACAAGTTTCTTTTTTATTACATATATATTGTTCCTAGCCCCACTTAGGAATATAAGTCTGATATTTAAAAACACATGAACATTTTTCAAATGCAAGTATAAATATATTTTGGACTGTTGTGCATCTGGACTATGCCATTAGCCATCATCTTTCAGTGTGGATAATTTAGAGCTCAGTGTATTTACTGATTATTTCATTTTAAAAGTGAGCCATGTGAAAGCAGATGGTTTGGTAATTTGATGAAACAGAATGATATTTCTGCCTTGAACAAAATGTAGGAGTCAGTATCTTTAAAATAATATTTACAATATCTTAGAATATCTTACAATAAATCTGAATTCTGTATTGATGGTATCTTTTTTGTCTCTTATCTGTATAGCTTTTAACCATTTTTGTGAGTGCTAAATTGGCATCATATGTCAAGTTTTATCAGAATAATAAAGACTTCATTGATTCACTTGGTAAGTTTTGGGGTTTATTCTTTGAGGCACAGAGGTGGGAACATGATACACTAACAGTTATGTACTATGTGTTCCAGCAAGTATGGCTGTGGCCTTATTTGTAGATTATCCTAAAAGGAGTCGTGTATGATAGAACAGCACAAAAATAGGTAGACAGTTTAAAATATTACTTAGAATGAATTGAGAATCAGAAACCAAGAAGGTGTAGGAGGTGGCATTTGTGATAGAAAGAGAATGAAACTGGGAGTATGAAAACAACTCGGGGCCCAGCGCGGTGGCTTAGAGGTATAATCCCAGCACTTTGGAGGCCGAGGCGGGCGGATCACGAGGTCAGGAGGTCGAGACCATCTTGGCTGACTAACATGGTGAAACCCTGTCTCTACTAAAAATACAAAAAATTAGCCGGGCGCGGTGGCGGGTGCCCGTAGTCCCAGCTACTTGAGAGGCTGAGGCAGGAGAATAGCTTGAACCCGGGAGATGGAGGCGGAGGTTGCAGTGAGCCAAGACTGTGCCACTGCACTCCAGCCTCGGCAACAGAGCAAGAGTCTGTCTCAAAAAAAAAAAAAAAAAAAAGAAAGAAAAGAAAACAACTTAGCACTTGTAATCCCAGCACTTTGGGAGGATGAGGTGGGTGGATCACTTGAGGTCAGGAGTTCAAGACCAGCCTGGCCAACATGGCAAAACCCCATTTCTACTAAAAATACAAAAATTAGTGGGCATGGTGGCACATACCTGTAGTGCCAACTACTCAGGAGCCTTAGGCAAGAGAACCACTTGAACCCGGGAGGCAGAGGTTGCAGTGAGTTCAGATCACACTGCTGCACTCCAGCCTGGATGACAGAGTGAGGCTCCATCTCAAAAAACAAAAAAAAAAGAGAGAGAAAATGACTTGGAACCTTTTTGTCTCATTTAAGAGCTTGCTGAACTTTAGGCCCTTCCAGCTCTTCTGTACCATGATTCTTTGAGGTAAAGTTATATCAACAATCGGGTGTTTGGAGAAGATTGAAGAAATAGTTCCATTGGTACATTTGTTTTTAAAATTTAGAGATGGAGGAGTGAGCAGAAAAGCAACTGAAAGAATTACCATTACTTTGATCATAATGGTAACTTTCAGAAATGTTTTAAGAGCTGATAAAATTTGATGATTAAAGGTACTTTATTAAGCTAAACATTATTCTTAAAATAATATTGTTTCTTTGTAGAAGACTTTATTCCTTAGATATATGGTGATTTGTATTTTTGGTCCCTTTTTTTAAGCCATAGCCACAGAATGGTAACAAATAGTTTTTTCCCCCCTACTATACTATTTTATGCTTGGATACCCCCGCCATTAACAAATTACAAAAGTATATAGTATTGCCAGTTAGATCTGAAAGATGGAATTAGAAATGGAAATGTAATTTTACATGATAGTAAGACTTTTCTAACTACGTTTGTTGAAAACAGCATAGTCTTTATTATTTTTATCTTTGAATTTTCTTGTCTAGCGTATCAGTTCAGTAAATGTTTGTCAAATTGAATCAAATCTTATTCATCCTTATTGAGCAAACCCTACATATGTTCAATATTTTAATTTCCTTCTGGAGCATGTTTTTAACATACTAAAATACAAAGAGAAAACTCAGAAAATCTGCAGTTGAACAGGTTTTAAATGTTGTAAACTACCAGTTTCTTTACACTGGAGTCAACTGTGAAACTAAGGTGCTTTGTTCTCCTACTAGGCAATAATCAAAACACATTAGAGATTGATTATATTTTCCATATTAAGACTGAATTTTTTTTTGTTTTTGAGACTAGTCTTCCTGGTTCTTGACGATACAGATGAATGTATGGTCTATTTTGATAGTCTTCAATTTGGTAATCATTAATGCTTGTCACCTGTAAATTGTGTGCCTCCATTGGAATTGGGGAAGATTGACTTATTCTGAACATAATAAGGCATTTGAAATACACCAAGATAAAGTAGATGTAAGTGTGTTTGTGTAGAAAGCTTTGCCAGGTGCACTAGACCCAGAAAACCACATTCTGTCCCAGTTAATTTGTTTTGTGGCATGAAGCTATGTGATGGAATGTTAATGTCAGCAACCTCTTTATTTACGCACCAAGGAAAAAGGAGTAGTAATTAACACTTTGACACTCCCCCATTGATGTGTAATTGACTGTTTCAAAGGAGCACTGGTTCATAAGCTATTGCATGCATTAAAACTGGGTTTTCTATATTGCAGCATTTTAAGACAGGGGTCAGTGACAATGCAGAAATTGCTCAATGATGCACTTTTTTTATTACTGCATTAAGGTTTTGACATATTAGTAATGAATAAATGTTTCCATAAAATTAGATTTTTTATAACTTTAAAATTGAAATATGACACAGTACACTGTGACTTCCTCTTTGATGGTAGTATTTTAGTTTTATGAAACAAAGCACAGCTTCCTACAAAGTCTTTAACTCATACTTCACTGCCTTAGTAGTTTGATTTTTCAGAACAAGAGTCCTAAGGGTTTTAAGTTTGGTTCTTTGTTACTTTAAACATCAATTTAAAGTGTTTTTAGATGCAAGTTTTCACATGTAAAATAGATAACGGTTTTATGGAATTCAGCCTAGAAATAATCTTCATTCCTCTGATAAGTTTTTTCATTTATGGTAAGATTGTAACTGCAGAAAAGATAAGCAGTAAAATAGATTTAATTTCAGGAGTATTTAAAATAATAGAAATTTCAGAAGTTTCTATCACTTTATATTGAAAGAGAGTTGTCTGTCCATGCCAATAGAACTGAGAATGTTAAGGAATTTTTGAAAAAAATCTTTAATACTTATTCATTGATAAGAAAAAATTCGTTAACATTGCTAATTTATTGTGCCAGCTAGAATTCAAATTCCTTCATTTGCCTTACGTTTCTTGAACATCTATGCAAATCAGTATTCTATTAGAAATTTGTTTATATGCTTTTCAGAAAACATCTTTATATTAATGTGTATATTTTTTATTTTAATTCTATAATTAAACATTTATTACAGCTGAAAGCCTAGTGACAACTATCTAGATTCCACAAGTTGCAATCAGTTTGTCAGAACATTTTCCTTTATTAACACTGACAACTTAGGCCAACAGTAGCATTATCTTGTGTCAACTGAATTGCCCTAACATGTCCACATGTAATCTGGTGTTATCCAGTTGCTACCTTTTGCTTCAGAAAGTTAATCGGCATCTAATTTGCATTGTTAATTAGGGTTAATGTGCACTAATTGATTTCTTGGCGCCTGTAGATTTCCATTAAACCCAGTTAGCAATACTTCCTTGTATACCTCATTCATTTGAGTTATGGTGATCATGTTTTTGTTGAATCTGTGCCAAATAGGAAGCCTGTATCATAATTACAGCTAATTAACAGATGATCATGTCCTATGTTAATGGGCTTCCCTAATCTTCCACTAATATATGAATGTTATAAATTTAAAATTTATTTATGGAGTGTTTAGAGAGTGAACTTTTTAAACAATACAGACTTGAAGCTCTGAATTTATTACAGGGCACTTGATTGATCATTTGCTGATTTTACATAGTTCAAAAGTTCAGAGAAAAGGAACATGTAAATCTAGATTAGTTTTAGAAACTTAGTTTTATAATTAATAAGTTAGCATCAAAACAAGTATATATGATATTATGTTAGAATTCTGCTCCTACTTAGGACTAGGTTATATATTTAGGATTCCTAATTTTTAAAATTTCTAGCCCTTTATTTTAGAAATGAACCTATTCTAGGCCTAGCACTGCTATTTTTTGACTATAAGTCCCCATTTAATCTCTTTGCTCCTCAGTTTTGTTTTTAAAGTGAAAGGATCAGGACTGGGTAATTCCTTAAGTTTTCTTCTAGGCCTAACACATTGTTGTTATTTGAATAATTACAACAGCATGTTTCATTAGAAATTATAATGCAAAATTTGAATTATTTGTGCAATTTTCTACTTTTGTCTTATAAAGAACAAGTATCACTTTTAATGGTATTCTTTAATTATATCTAGTACTAACTGTATTGGCCTATAAATGTTAAATGACACACACACTTTGACAGTTTTGGTTTGTAAGTAGTTTTGATTTTTAAATAGTGACCTGAAGCAAAATGGAATGTTTTCATAACTGAAAATGTTTGTGAAAGTATTTTAAAACTTCAGGTTTACCAGTAATAGTAACACAGAAAAAACTAATAAGTAGATAAGAAATCCTCTGTGTTTAAATGAAGAGCTATTAGTGTGAAAAATAAGCTTAGGTAATTTAACTAAATAGAAATTGTTCTTATGAAATGTACTTTGTAGATTTTATCTCCTAAAATGTATAACTATTTAAAAATGTAAAATGTGCAAAACTTTTAGGGTCTAAAAATAATCATTTTATGGCCGATTCTTAACTTTGAATCTATCACCTATGGTACTATAGAAAAATTGTTTTTAATACTCTGTGGAGTCAGTTTATAGTTTGCAAATATAAGAAGCTTTGTCAAAATTGTTCTATATAAGTGCTCAAACAATAATTTCCACAATTACAAAAGTAAAAATAATTTCCACAGCTTAACATGAGATGTAATTGTGCAGGTCTTTAATTAGTATGAACACTCATCAGGCTTCACTATTCTGTTTTCTAGGCCTGTTACATGAACAGAATATGGCAAAAATGAGACTACTTACTTTTATGGGAATGGCAGTAGAAAATAAGGAAATTTCTTTTGACACAATGCAGCAAGAACTTCAGATTGGAGCTGATGATGTTGAAGCATTTGTTATTGACGGTAAGGCAGACAGAACATTTTCATTTATTTCTAGAATTTCTCATCTACTACATGGATCATAGTAAGATTTTTATCTGGAAACTGAGCCTTACACAACAAAGATTTGTTTATAGCAGATGTGTATTTAGTAGATTAGTGGATATATTTGTTGTAGGGTGAAAATTTAGTAGAAATATAAACTGCTATATTCTATCCCTTGAAATCACGTAGAACAAAGACGTTTAGGCAATACACCACTGTGGTTAAGAGCACAGATTTTAGTATTAGATGTGGATTTAAGACCAGGCCCTTCCTTTGTGAAACAGGAATGTAGGGGTTCATTTGTGGTTGTAAGAATTAAATGAATTAATACAGGTAAAGCACAGTGCCTGGCACATAGTAAGTGATCTTTCAAGTGTTAACCATTACCAGTTTTTTTATGATTAGCCTAGAAACAAGAACTTCTTCCCCAACAATTAGATTATAAAGCAACTTAACTGCTCAGGAATTTTTTCTGAGCTTTTTAAATTTGAAAGTTGGGATTATGCAATTAAGATTAATAAAAGGTACAGAACTATTGACCTTTTTTCCCCTAATGCTCTAAGTTTTCTATGAAGAAGTAATAACTTAGTAGGAAATTAGTTTATTCCCCTATATGAGATGGTAGGGGAAGAACACCTAGCATTCTTTAAAAAAAAAAAAAAAAAAAAAACAGCAAAAAACTGTATGCAGTATTTATTTAATATAGATTGTCCCAGCAGCCATAGGACAAATGCATGACCTTTCTTTTGGTTGCCCCATACTGTTTTGCTTATTAGATTTAAACAGTGTATAATGTTGGAAAACAGTATAAAGTTTTATTATGGCTTACTTGGTCACAGTTTTCATACCTTAGCTATTTTTCTTGGAAATTTTCCATATAACATACGATATAAAACATCTTTTTTCAGCCGTAAGAACTAAAATGGTCTACTGCAAAATTGATCAGACCCAGAGAAAAGTAGTTGTCAGGTAAGATATTTAATGCTTTGCAGCATTTTATAGAACGATTTAGTTTGTTCCGATTATTTCACTTAAATGTTTAGAGAACCAAGGTGGTGTTATCACTTGACTGTAGTTAAATAGTTGCTATTTATCATAATTTTATTAAAGTTCAGACTGAATGTGATTAGCTTATTTAATGAAAGAGTCCTATTTTCCAGCACATTTCATTTAATGGCTGAGCATTGGCTAGAATACTAATGACTTTTATGTCTGCTTTATATAGTTGCTCAGGAGAATTAGAAGGCTTAGGATCAATATGGTAAAGATTTTTTTTAAATAATTATGTAATTCTTAAATTCTCTTACTATTCTAAATTAGGTATATTTAATCTTGCTTTTAACTGGATTCAAATCTGTAGTATTATAAAAGAATACCAGAGGCTAAAAGGTTGACTAACACTGTGTTTAATTTTTCAATTTTTAGTCATAGCACACATCGGACATTTGGAAAACAGCAGTGGCAACAACTGTATGACACACTTAATGCCTGGAAACAAAATCTGAACAAAGTGAAAAACAGCCTTTTGAGTCTTTCTGATACCTGAGTTTTTATGCTTATAATTTTTGTTCTTTGAAAAAAAAGCCCTAAATCATAGTAAAACATTATAAACTAAAAAAATTTGCCTAGTCTGGACAGTTATTGTCTCAAATTTATACTAAAATCACAAACTCCAGAGGATATGAAGTAATAAATTACAAGGGGTCACAATGTCTGTCATACAATACATAAATTCTGTTCTTTAAAAAAGGATATTGAAGAAGCAATGAGCACTTTAAAGAAAGGATAATATACAGAGAGAAGACAGAAGTAGAGTAATACAATTTCTTCACATTAGAAAAACTTGGAAAAGCAAAGACAAACTGTAGAGCTTTAAATACAACAGTCATTTTATTCTAGTAAAAACTATACCAGAATTTCAGTTACATAATTTCACTACTGAAAGCACTTATCTACATTATTTTAATCTGTTGTTTTTTTCCAACGTCTCTTCTGCTTTTCTTTTCTTTGGCTGGTTGTCATTTTCTAAACTTAGTAAATTTTCACTTTTATTTAGTTGATTCGTAATGAGGCTCTGCCAGTCATCATCACCAGAAGTATTTTTAGTCGTCTTGATTGCCTGCAAATGGCTTTGTAGTGGAGTTGATATCAGAGGCTTTGTTTTCACCTGGGAAAGATAAACTAATTTTACCTTCGAAATTATTATACAAAAGATTTTAAAGAGTCTGTAAAGCCTCTGCAGTTATGAGTATGTGGTAAAACCACCATCTCTTGGCTGATTTCCACTACCTTAGTAGTTCTGGCACCAGAAAAGTATACAATGTGAATGTGTAGGCTTATGTAGTAGATCTTCAAAATCTCTAATATATAACTGAAGTAAAGTGTACAAAAACTGCCTTTTACTACTTCATGTTTCCTCCCATGCTTCAGAACACCATTGTTGAAGAAACAGGAAGGGCAGTGAGATATTTGGAAGTTGGCATGTTTTCAAGACACTGTATTGGGTAATTTTAAAAATAGTGTGTTAAATAACTTTTTCATTTTAAGGTTCTTTTCTGATGTTAAAATACTTACTGGAAATTTAGAAAATAGAGTAAAGTAGAAAGAAACTAAAAATCATTAGTAATCCCTTATCCAGAGAGGCTTGTTGACATTTTGGTATTATTTGCTGCTAGCGTTTTTTTCTATTTTTAGCCTATTTGATCATTCTATAGAATTTTATGTATTTTCCTCTGTGAGCAGTTTCTTAGGTCATTAAAAACAATTGTCTATGGCTGCAAAATACTCCCTTTTATGGATGTTTGATATATCTCCTACTACTGAATGTTTGTTTCCAGTTTATCCCTACCAAAAATTAATTCGAGTTAATTTCATGCAAAACAATCTTTGATGTTTTTGAGAGATTCCCAGATAAAATTTTCTCTTCAAAAGGAATACTGGGCCAGGCACTGTGACTCATACCTGTAATCCCAGCACTTTGGGAAACTGAGGCGAGTGGATTGCATGAGCTCAGGAGTCGAAAACTAGCCTGAGCAACATGGCAAAACCCCATCTCTACCAAAAATTAGCTGGGCATGGTGGCATGCAACTGTAGTCCCAGCTCCTCGGAGGGCTGAGGTGCAAGGATCATTTGAGCCCAGGAGGTGAAGGTTGCAATGAGCCAAGATCATGCCATTGCACTCCAGCCTGGACAACAGAGTGAGACCCTCTCTCAAAAATAAATAATAGATAAAACAAAAGGAATACTGAATTGTTTTCAAAATAACAATTATGGTGGGCTTTCTTTTAAGATAGGGTCTCACCCTGTCACCTAGGCTGGAGTGCAGTGGCACAATCACAGCTCATTGCAGCCTTGACCTCCCTGGATTCAGGTGATCCTCCCACCTTCACCTCCTGAGTACCTTGGACTACAGGCATGTGCCACCACACCCAGGTAATTTTTGTATTTTTTGCCATGTTGCCCAGGCTGGTCTCTCTTAACTCTTGGGCTCAAGTGATCTGACCATCTCGGTCTCCCAAAGTTCTAGGATTACAGGAGTGAGCCATACTGTGTTGTGTTTTAGTTGAAAGGGATATACACGTGTATTTTAGAAATATGAAACAGGATAAGAATTACATTAAAATCACCCAAGATCCCAACCACCATTAAAGAGTTTGTGTAAATCTTCTGGTCTCTTTTCTGTATACACTTTTTAAATACTGGGGTCATATTTTTATTGGTTTATATGCTATGTTAAACATTTTTAGCATTTCCTCCTGTTCTTAAGTCTGTTAAGAGGATAGCTCCATCATATTCTGTGTTCTGCAAATTATTTCTGGACATTTAAATTGTAAGAAAATGGTCACTGTTAACTAGGCTGCAGTGATTATCATTTGTTCATAAATCTTTGTGAAGATCTTTGGGTACTGCCTTACATTAAAATCTTTTTCAATTTGACCAGTAAAAGTGGCATGTTAGTAACATTGTCATTTTCAGTGTTAGATTATGTAGTACTAAGTTTATTTTATTTTATTTTTGAGACAGAGTCTTGCACTGTCGCCCAGGCTGGAGTGCAGTGGCGCCATCTCAGCTCACTGCAACCTCCACCTCCCAGGTTCAAGCGATTCTTCTGCCTCAGCCTCCCGAGTAGCTGGGATTACAGGCACCCACCACGATGCCCAGCTAATTTTTTGTATTTTTAGTAGAGACAGGGTTTCACTATGTTGTCCAGGCTGGTCTCGAACGCCTGACCTCATGATCCACCTGCCTCGGCCTCCCAAAGTGTTGGGATTACAGGCATGAGCCACCCTGCCCGACCTAGTAATACTTTTTTTTTTTTTTTTTTTTAATGAACTTAAATGTTTAGAATGGTAAGTTCACGGCTCCCTAAGGAGTGTTCCTTTTGGATTGCTCTGTTTGGCTCCCTCCCTGAAATCCTATAGTCAGCCACTGGTCCCCTCAGAGAGTTTTACCTCTGATCTTTGGGGTGATTCTTTGTTCATATTTATCTGATTGGCTTTGTTCTTCCAAAAGTGTCTGCACAGGACTGCTAAGAGAACCTAGGCAAGTCATTTAATTTTTCTGGGCTTCAGTTTACTCATTAGCTTCTTTTAGTTCCCAGATGCTATTACTGGAAAGAATAACTAGTAATGGATAAAAACCTACATAAATATTTCCTATTTTGCCATCAAAGTGCTGGGTTCATTTTGGTGTATTTGGCATCCAAGTACAAATTAACAGTTTCCCAAAATCCTGATTCTTTGACTTTTTTATCTTGATGATGGAAAGGAAGGACACGTTTACTTGCTTTAGTTTCTTTCCCCTTAACTACCCACTTGCTGAGAGGGGTAGGAGCAGGGATTGGCTTTAGAGAAACAAGATACAGTGTAGATTAGCTAATGTTTGCGCTTAACAAAACTTGTCCTGTTTAACTTACCTGAGGGTTCTGCAGCCTACCGCAGTAATTTTAGTTCTAGCTGTTTTCAGATATATTGCCTTGTATCTTCGTTCTTTCGTCTCCTATCCTTTTTAGAAATTTATCACCTGTTTCTCTTTCAGCCTGACTTACAAAATCTAATTTTTGGCCTAAAAATTTCCCCTAGCTTGGTACTAGTCCTTTTATTTCTGCCTGTGATTATATTTTAAAATTAAACTTAAATGAATCTAATTCATTGGATATATAAAAAAAAAAGTAAGTGGCTTGCTTTGCTTACTCTGGTTTTCCATCCTCATTCCTGGATATAATCAAGATTGCAGTAGGCTAACAATCTAATGCTGAAAACAAGAATGAAAAACATACCATCTTTTCAAGTTACTTTGGACCCATAGAGAGAAAGTGGATTGGTACTTAATACCTTCCCTGAATTTAACAGAATTGATGTGGACTGTACATAAAATATGTTGAAAAATAAAACTATTTTTTTGGCTATAAGTCTTCATAAAATTCATTTATAACAGAGGTTGATAAACTTTTTCCAAAAAGTGCCAGAGTAAATATTTTCAGCTTTGTGGGCCAAATGGCCTCTTACAACTGCTCAATTCTCAGTGCCATGCCAAAACAGCCTTTACAATATGCAAAGGAATGGGTGTGACTGTGGTCTATTAAATTTATAAGGAGATCTACTTTTGAATTTGCCCCACATTACATAATTTGCAATCAAGCTTTAAGCTGGGACAATGAAGCTTACCATAGTACTTGGCACATAGTAATAAGCACTTAGAAAATGTCTATTCAGCCAGTGAATTGAGTTTGTTTTATATGCATCAATCTTTCAGAAGAAACATTTTTTCTATTGTGAAAGTTAAGAAAGTATAATATAGCATTTGACTAAGAGCCACAATATCTAGCCTAGGTCCACCACATATTGTGTCTTAATGACCCTGGAAAGTTATTTCACATTTATGTCACTGTTTCATCTGTAAAAAAAATTACCTTGCCAATGAAAAAGTTAAAAATTCTATAAAAATAAATTCTTTTTTTTTTTTTTTTTTTTTTGAGACACTGTCTCACTCTGTCACCCAGGCTGGAGTGCAGTGGCACAATCGGCTCACTGCAACTTCAGCCTCCCGAGTAGCTGGGACTACAGGTGCCTGCCACCACACCCGGACAGTTTTTGTATTTTTAGTAGAGACCTGGTTTCACCATATTGGCCAGGCTGGTCTCAAACTCCTGACCTTGTGATCCGCCCACCTTGGCCAAAGTGCTGGGATTACAGGCTTGAGCCCACCACGCCCAGCCAAAAATAAATTTTTTTTTTTTTTTTTTTTTTTTTTTTTTGAGACGGAGTCTCGCTCTGTCGCCCAGGCTGGAGTGCAGTGGCGGGATCTCGGCTCACTGCAAGCTCCGCCTCCCGGGTTCACGCCATTCTCCTGCCTCAGCCTCCCAAGTAGCTGGGACTACAGGCGCCCGCCACTACGCCCGGCTAATTTTTTGTATTTTTAGTAGAGACGGGGTTTCACCGTTTTAGCCGGGATGGTCTCGATCTCCTGACCTCGTGATCCGCCCGCCTCGGCCTCCCAAAGTGCTGGGATTACAGGCGTGAGCCACCGCGCCCGGCCCAAAAATAAATTCTTAAAAGCAACATTAGTTGCAGATAGAACATTAGGAATTAGACAAAAAGAACTCCCCTATTAGATTAATTATAAAAATGGGCTTTCAAGTGAGATGTGAAATTTCCACTGTTTGAAAGTAGAACAGCTATCTTATAAGGGTTAAGGATTCACCCTAATTAGAAATGGATGTTTAGCTTTGATGCCCTCAAGCTTCATGTTTGTTTTGATTCTATGACTTACCCAATTGGGCAAGGTTAAGACTTAGATTTTCCAATGCCAGAGTTACTGCCCTTTAGTCACCATATTTTAATGATACACACATACACCAAGTGGAAACTATACTGTTGCTTATGAGCTCAATTAGGAAAGAGTGAAAAGGGTGTATTAGTCCGTTCTCACGCCGCTAATAAAGATACTGGAGACTGGAAAAAAAAAGATAGGTTTAACGGACTTACAGTTTCACATGACTGGGGAGGCCTCATAATCATGGCAGAAGGCGAAAGGCAATTCTTACATGGTGGCAGCAAAAGAGAGCTTGTGCAGGGCAACTCCCACTTTTAAAGCCATCTGATCTCATGAGACTTATTCACTATCACAAGAATATTTCACTATCACAAGAACAGCATAGGAAAGACCGGCCCCCCCCACGATTCTATTACCTCCCACCAGGTTCCTCCCACAACACGTGGGAATTGTGAGACCAATTGTAATTCAAGATGAGATTTGGGTGGGGACACAGCCAAACCATATCATTCTGCCCCTGGCCCCTCCCAAATCTCATATCCTCACATTTCAAAACCAATCATGCCTTCCCAACACTCCCCCAAAGTCTTACTTCAGCATTAACTCAAAAGTCCAAAGTCTCATCTGAGACAAGGCAAGTCCCTTCCACCTATAAGCCAGTAAAATCAAAAGCAAGTCAGTTACTTCCTAGATACAAGGAGGGGTGGGGTACAGGCATTGGGTAAACACAGCTGTTCCAAATGGGAGAAATTGGCCAAAACAAAGGGTCTACAGGCCCTGTGAAAGTCCAAAATCCAGCATGGCTGCCAGGTCACGCTAATGCAAGAGGTGGGTTCTTATGGCCTTGGGCAGCTCCACACCCCTGTGGCTTTGCAGGGTACAGCCTCCCTCCTGGCCACTTTCACGGGCTGACATTGAGTGTCTGTGGCTTTTCCAGATACATAGTGCAAGCTGTTGGTGGATCTACCATTATGGGGTCTAGAGGATGGTGGCCCTCTTCTCATAGCTCCACTAGCCAGCACCCCAGTAGGGACTCTATATGGGGGCTCTGACCCCACATTTCTCTTCCACATTGCCCTAGCAGAGGTTCTCCATGAGAGTCCCGCCCCTGCAGCAAACTTCTGCCTGGACATCCAGGCATTTCCATACATCCTTTGAAATCTAGGAAGAGATTCCCAAACCTCAATTCTTGACTTCTGTGTACTCGCAGGTTCAACACCACATGGAAGCTGCCAAGGCTTGGGGCTTGTACCCTCTGAAGCAATGGCCCAAGCTGTGACTTGGCTCCTTTTAATCATGGCTGGAGTGGCTGGGATGCAGGGCACCAAATCCCTAAGCTGCACACAGCACGGGGACCCTGAGCCCCGCCCACAAAACCATTTTTTCCTCATAGGCTTCTGGGTTTGTGATGGGAAGGGCTGCCGTGAAGACCTCTGACTTGCCCTGGAGACATTTTCCCCATTGTCTTGGAGATTAACATTCAGCTCCTTGTTACTTATGCATATTTCACAGCCAGCTTGAATTTCTCCTCAGAAAATGGGATTTTCTTTTCTATCATATTGTTCAGGCTGCAAATTTTCCAAACTTTTATGCTGTTTCCCTTATAAAACTGAATGCCTTTAACAGCGCCCAAGTCACCTCTTGAATGCTTTGCTGCTTAGAAATTTCTTCTGCCAGATACCCTAAATCATCTCTCTCAAGTTCAAAGTTCCACAAATCTCTAGGACAGGGGCAAAATGCTACCAATTTCTTTACCAAAACATAACAAGTCACCTTTGCTCCATTTCTCAACAAATTCCTCATTTCCATCTGAGATTACCTCAGACTGGATTTCATCGTCCATATCATTGTCAACATTTTGGTCAAAGCCATTCAACAAGTCTCTAGGGAGTTCCAAATTTTCCCACATTTTCCTGTCTTCTGAGCCCTCCAAACTGTTCCAACCTTGGCCTGTTACCCAGTTCCAAAGTTGCTTCCACATTTTCGGGTATCTTTTCAGCAACACTCTGCTCCTGGTACCAATTTACTGTATTAGTTTATTTTCACACTGCTAATAAAGACATACCCAAGACTGGGAAGAAAAACAGGTTTAATGGATTTACAGTTCCATGTGGCTGGGGAGGCCTCATAATCATGGTGGAAGGCAAAGGCAATTTTTTTTATTTTTTTGAGATGGAGTCTCGCTCTGTCATCCAGGCTGGAGTGCAGTGGCGTGATCTCGGCTCACTGCAAGCTCCACCTCCTGGGTTCACGCCATTCTCCTGCCTCAGCCTTCCGAGTAGGTGGGACTACAGGTGCCTGTCACCAAGCCCAGCTAATTTTTTTTTTTTTTTTGTATTTTTAGTAGAGACAGGGTTTCACCATGTCAGCCAGGATGGTCTCGATCTCCTGACCTCATGATCCGCCCACCTCAGCCTCCCAAAGTGCTGGGATTACAGGCATGAGCCACTGCACCCGGCCGGCAAAAGGCAGTTCTTACATGGCGGCAGCAAGAGAGAAGAGAGCTTGTGCAGGGAAACTCCCATTTTTAAAACCATCAGATCTTGTGGGATTTATTCACTGTCATGAGAATAGCACAGGAAAGACCCGCCCCCATGATTCAATTACCTCCCACTGGGTCCCTCCCATGACACATGGGAACTGTGGGAGTGACAATTCAAAATGTGATTTGGGTGGGGACAAAGCCAAACCATATCAAGGATAGTTCCTGATTTTTGTCTCAACTCTCCCAGAAGAGTTATACTATCTCACTTGAGGTTTCTCCTATTTAGAAAGGAAAATAAAATACATTGTTAAAAGCTGTTATTTGTTAAGGATGTGTTAGTACTATAATATTCATTTTGTATATGCTAAAGAGAAAGTTGTTTAATAGTTTGAACACTACAACCTTTTTCTTGCTTAAAGTTCTATACACTATGATATAAAACTTACACATTTAACCAGATAACCTTCCTGCTATAGTTAGTTGCTTTCTATATGACAAATAGACTCCTGGAAGCCATATAATTTCTACAAATACTTTAATACATATATCCATACAGTATCACATGGATACTTGATCCTTTCACACGTGTTCTAATTGAAATAGTTTTAAATTCTTTCCATCTCAGTTTCCAAAAATAATGTGAATTTACTTAAGGATTATTAAAAACAATTGGACTTGATTAGCTTACTTTTAGACATAACCTTTTATTAACATAAAATTTTAAATGCTCAAATACCACTATTTCCAAATTTAGATGAGTAAGAAATAGAAGTACATATCCGATGCCTCACACTCTCCTTCCCCAAACAGGCTGGATTGTATCTATTTGATTTATACACTGTGACTTTTTCCTGCTGTTTTCTATCAACCTTAATTGTGAAAAATGGTGCCATGTTGCCCTCTTGATATTATTTTGGAGATCAGTTAGGTCTTAAAGCATCCAGATGCGTACAGTTCTACACATATCTGTAGAATTAGCTCACTAAGGTCTGCTCGGCAATATTTTTAATTGACTTACATGTTCTGTGGGAAAAGAGGAATCATAAAAAGTCTTTGCCATTGCATTCTTCTCTTCACTGGGTTCTCCCTTGGGATCTGGATGGATACTCCAGTTATTCAAAGTGTCAGCAACTCTGTTAATGCTGGTAGTATCTGATTGATAAAGAGGAAATGGCAACAACTGAATTTTTCTCTAGGTACTCATTTTAGTGACTGAACTTGTTTCTGATCCTATGCTTTTGTATTTAAAAAGCAACAAATTTCTATTTTAATGTTGAATATTTTGCAGTTGTCCTAGACTTTGCTCTTAAATTAGGCATTTCATTTCTGAAAACAAACAAGATTTTATTATTGCTACTTTCTAAAACCTGATTACTGTAATTCCACATTAAAAGCAGTGAAAGAAATGGTATAAATACCTTCTAAAACAAAATAACTCATAAAATGTTATCATTATTCCCCTGGTTACTGTATTTCCCACACATGTAAGCATTTGTATAGTGAATATTTTACCAACTCAGATTAATGGAAAAAGTCAGAACCAACTACATACCAGATTTATAAACTATTTAAAGAAATTGGCCACAGTGAGAAGTCCAACAAAGGGCTGTTTAGAAGGGGTCACATTGGGCTTTAATAAATTGATAGAAATGAGTTAGAGAAGTATGTAAATTATGAAGGTTAAAAGATACTGATGGCATATTTAAGAGTATTTTACAAGTTGAATTTCTACAGAATTTTAGATATCACCCTTTGTATCTTATATATCACTGAAATTTAATTACAAGAAAGGACTTCAAAAAAAATGGTAGATTTTTAGACCAGCACCTAAAGCAATACCTAATTAAAAGTTAATGGAATCTTAAGTAATATATTTTGTGACCTTGAAAAATTGCAGTTTGGGAAATGAGGTTATACAGTGTTTTGGTTATTTGATTTTCGCCTACATTATTTCCCATTGGTAGTAGTAAACAAGATATGTTTTTGTTTTTAATCACCAAATAGTCTCTTTAAATTTTTCTCAATTTCCTTTTTAAAAGAAGCCTGTTAAATCTGAGGGCCATATAAAAGCTATCCTTGGAATCTGCATCTTTTTAAGGTGTCTAAGTGCACAATGTTAAACCCACAAAGTTCCCTTAAAATATAAGAATGCCTTTAACAACCTTAGCAACTTTTGACTATGAGATTGCTATTAAAAGAAAACATGCTGTCCCAAAAATAAAAACAATTAAAAAACCATTTTCCTCATGATCATACTTCTTAAATACTGCTTTTTATTTTCAATTTATATTTATACAGCACCAATTCATGATAATCTAGTATGTTTTTATTTTTAAATACTGTGAAAAATTTTCAGGCCGGGTGTGGTGGCTCCCAGCAATTTGGGAAGCTGAGGCAGGAGGATCACTTGAGCCCAGAAGTTCAACACCAGCCTCGGCAACAAAGTGAGACCTGTCTCTACAAAAAATTTTAAAACTTAGCTGGGTGCAGTGACATGTCTGTACTCCCAGCTGCTCAGGAGGCTGAGGTGGGAGGATTCCTTCAGCCTGGGAGGTTAAAGTTGCAGTGAGCTATGATCACACCACTGCACTCCAGGCTGGGTGACAGAGCAAGACTCTATCTCAAAAAAATAATAAATAAATAAAGCAAAAAACAAAACAAAAACATAGACAGCCATGTACTTCGATACCCATCAATATTAAGTCATATGTATTTCATCCATTTACCTCTCCCCCCATTTTTTCTGGAGTATTTTAAAATAAAACTTGGACATTATGCCATTTCATATGGCAGTTTTTAAGACAGAACAATCTCTCTATTCTCTTTAACATCTGAATGCATGAATATATGTTAAGGGATTCAATTTAAAGTGTTTTCAACTGACAAATACTGGTCATAGGAAATATATTAATGTTATGCCTCATTATTACTTATAAAACAGAAGGAAGAGCCGGATTTCTGGTGTGGGTGAAGGGACAGATAAAAATAGAAAAATTAAGGAAAGGGAGAGAAAATTGGGCAAAGAAAGACAACATAGGAGAGAAACTAAAATGTTCTAAGGGAAGGAAGTTTTTAAGGATGAATGAAGAGCATATAGAAAGAAGAGCAATAAATATTCACACTTGGCAGAAGCCTTAACTACTTCACTGTATTTGCTCTAAAAGTTAAAAACAAAAGAATATTAAGTTGTTCCTAATTTAAAATAAGACGAACTTTTAAAACAAAATTTACAAAATATGACTGTACACATTTATCAAGAATAAGTAGAAAAATATTTTGAGAATTAAAACATTACTTTGTTTTCTTACCTGGTCCAATATCCTTTCCAACATCATCCACACCAATATTTTTACAAAGAGCCATTGAAATGATCTTTTTGTTTTCTGATGGATCTAGTGGTCTCTCCTTCAGCAACAAAGAAATGCAAGGGGTCGAACTGCTCGCTGTTTGACTTTCAATGTGATTTACTTTTGACCAAGGACCGGGGTCTGAAAAATTCATGTATACTGGAGTTTTCTCAGTTTTTTTATCTGAAGTTGAAAGATCAAAGGTTGACCTTCCGCTTCTGTTTACTAAATCTCCAGATGGCTCTATGTGAAATGAATGTGATTCCTCCAGCTGTCCTTCACTGAACATTTTTCCTGAAACAATGTCATTTAATGATTCTGTTTTCTCTGTATTATTTAACAATGTATGCTGTCTTTCATTAATGCTCACAAAAAGGAAGAGGTCATTTTTTGTGGCTTCAGTTACCTGATTCTCATCAATCTGATTCTTTTTATTGGAAAACTCTGTTTCTGTGCAAGTTTTCATGTGAACAGCAGTTTTCACATCTTTGGCTTGTGAAGCATGACTATTCTCATTGTTAAGATGAAGATGGGAAATGTTCACATTAGTGTTTTCTAAGTATCCCAAACAGTTATTAAATTGACTGTTTTGCATATCACTCATATTTTTACACATAGTTTTTCCCCCAGGGCTTGAGTTAGGTTTCACCAACATAGACATACTATGGACATTTTTATCTGAGTTCTTCAGAAGTAGTTTTGAATTAGCACTAAAAGCAGCATATGAAACATGGTGGTCGATTACTATATCACAGGGAACAGTTAGTTCAGATTTCTCTAAAGTATCATTACAGACTTGCAGAAAATCTGAAGTTTGTTTAGAAAGTAATATGCTGCACTCACTTTTTTTAGTTAACAGTTGTATTTGTTTTATTTTACATTGTTTATCATCTAACATAACATTACTTGAATTCCGTAAACTATATTTCTGACATGGAACAGGATTTTTTTTTATATCTAGAGACGAGTCCAAATCTGCTTTGGTTTGGTCACTATTTGTAATTTCCTTCTCTAGAGCATGTTCTCGAGTCCCTGGAAGCAATCTGAATTGTTTGAATGGCTCATTTTCAGAAACATCTTTATTATTATTGTGATATGTATTGTGTGCTGTCTCATTTAAAATACTGTTAAATGATGTTTTGTTATTTTCAACCTCCAGATTTACATCTGTATGGTGAACATCTAATCCTCTGGTTCTTTCTAGATGTATTTTTTCTGTTTCTATTGCTGTATCTAACACTACAAAATGATTATTTGGTGATTTAAATTCTGTACATCCATTGTCTTTTTCCAAGCATATCTTGTCTTTTATTTCTGTAGTAACTGATTTTCTGTTGTCCGTAACATTCGAGGTTTGTCCTTGACTAATTACTTCTTTATCTAAGGAGAGGGTTTTGCTTAAGGAGATTTCACTTTGATTTTCATCCTGAGAAACAACAGTATCAATTTCATTCTTGAAGCTTTTTTCAAAAAGCTGTAAATCTGTCATGATGGGAACACAGTAAAATTTTATATTATACACTAAAGGCTGATTTCATAAGACATATTTATCACCTATTTTTATAAAAACATATTTAACCTTAAATATTTTATGGGTCAATAATTATACAAACTTAATGACATCAATATTACCTAAATACTGGGTTCCCTTTATTGTATCAAATATATCTTTAGCATGCTAAATATTTGGCTTTACCCATATTAAACTTTAATTTCATAATAGCAAAGTATTTTTGGTTTTGTAAACGGAAAGTAAGTTGAGGTATTAAAAAATGGTTTATTTTTCTAGTCTATTTGCTTCATTTAGGACACTTAGTACAATTCCACATAAATACATAGCTGATAAAAATTAATTTATCCTAACAGATTATGCTGTAATTTCTATTACTACCTAGGTCCAGCAGTATCTAGAAATTGCTAGCTGGCTTCTTCAGGACTGACAATCATCACTTTTATTCATTACCCAGTGAATATTTTTAAATTCTTGAATAGTTTTGGACAAGTATATAGAATATCTACTTAATCAAGACATTAATTTTATTCATCTATATTCTAACAAAGATTTCAACTTTTTAGTATAGTTAACCTAGAATATAAATTTCAGGTTTTTGAAGGACTTTTTAGAAGTCCAGTCATTCTCTCTACAACATCTCCACCAAGTGGTTGTTCAGCCTGAGTTTGAACACCTCCAATCAGTATCAGCTTTAAACAACACTTTTTCAAGATGGAAGAATTAATAAATTATTCCAATGGTTACAGAAAGGTTATCTGAATTAAGAAAAATGCCCTAGGTCTGGTCATCAGAAGGTTACTGGTGACTCCAAGAACATTCTCAGCAAAACAGTGAAGGCAGAAACCAGAATCCAAAAAGACTAGGAATAAGTCATGAAGAGGGGAGGCAGAATGTAATTTTCCCAAAAATATTTACTGTAAATATCAACATACAAATTAGAAAATATCAATATAATTTTAAGGTTACCATCTATAATTATTTCCTCTATAAATGAGCCTTCTTTTTTTTCTTCTTTTTCTCTGTATTCAGTATCTGAACAAAAATTCTCCATATTTTCTTCCCTTATTTCTTGCTCAGTATTATATTTCTGTATAATGGTGTTTTCTGATTTTTCAGTTGACATTTCACTGTTTTCATTATTTACTTCTGGAACATTCTAGTGTAAAATGGAAGAGATTCTTTTAAAAACATTGCCTACAAGTATAAAACATTTGAGCAAATGTGATAAATGTGGAATCTGTGTTTCAGTTCAACCATTCAGCAATTTCTATTTGAAAGTCAAATGATTTTTTAGTAAGTTTAATATACCATACTCTTTATAACGATATCACTTTACATTCATTTTATATAGTCTATCATATTTAAGCAAAATGGAGATCTTTATACATTTTCAAACATGCATACCACATTATTATATAATACCACATTATATGTAATAGAAGAACCACCCCATTACTAAAAACAAGATAGACATGGCAGGCAAATTGTTTTGAGCAGTAGTTTATTTTTTTAAGAGATGAGTTCTTGCTATGTTGCCCAGGCTGGAGTGCAGTGGCTATTCACAGGTGCGATCATAGTGCACGACAAGCCTCAAAATTCTGGGCCCACACTATCCTCCTGCCTCAGCCTCCTAAGTAACTGGGACTACAGGTGCTCACCACCATGCCAGGTGAAGCAGTATTTTTATGTATCCTTAAAACAGTGAATCAGTCCAACATGCTTTTTCTTCCCCTATATATTGAGCACATGTTACATGTGAAGCACTGTACTAGGCTTTGGGATACAATGATGAACAAAATACAGTCCCTGTCCTCAAAAAACTTACAGTCTGGTATGAAGATAAGAAAATAAGTAACAGGCAACTTTAATAGGATGTGGTAAGTGCTCTGATATGGATAAATGCAGGTTACTATGGGCACATGCAGGAATAGTCCTGTCCCTGCTTTTGGGAGTCAAGGAAGGTTTCTTGGAGAAGGTGTTAGCTAAACATACGTGAAGTATGATATGGAGTCATAGATGGGGATAAGGAGGCACTCCAGAAAGAATAAATGGCATATAGCGATACTTAAGAGCAAGCAAGATTAAGAGTATATTTATGGAACTATGAGTGATTTCGTTTGGCTAGAGCTTACATGTAGGGAGAAGAATGAAGATAAATGAGGCTTGAGGTAAGCTGGGCCGAGGTCATTAAGGGCCTAACATTGGCATGTTAAGGAGTTTCAACTCTACCAGGAAGACACTGAGAAGTCACTGAAGGGTTTTAAACAAGGAATGAATAATGTGATCTGACTGGAAAGACCATTTTGGCTACAGTACAAAAAAAATGGACTAACATTTTTGAAACTTCATTGATGGAAACCAGCAATGAGAAATATGTTTTATAACTCAATAGGCACATCAAACAGTACCTACTATTATACACTCTAATGTTTTCTATGCTATTTCATTTCATTTTAAAAAGAATTCTGGTCACAACCCACCAAACTAATTTCCATGAACCACTGATAAGTTGCACCTAGAAGTCTGAAAAACACTAAATTAAAGGGAGAGAACACACGGGGCAGAGTGATACATCAGGAGAGTGCTGCAGCAGTCCAGGTGATATCAGTAAAGATGAAGAGCTGTGAACCCATTGGTGATGTATGGAACTAAAGTTAATTGGACTTGGTCAATGATTGGATGTGAAGGCTGAGGGAGAAGGTGAGTCAAGATTGACTTCCGTAGTTCAGATTAGGTAAGTAGATGACTGGTGGATGTCATTCCTTGAGCGAGAAAACAGGAGTAGTAGTAGATTTGGACGAAAATATCATGAGTTCAGTTTGAACTTACTGAGTATGAAGAGTTAGTAATACATTAAAGTGGCAATATCTAATGAACCTGTATTTATTTATTACTTTTGTCTTTTAAATAATTCCAACTTTTATTTTAGATTAAGGGTATACATGTGCAGGTTGGTTACATGGCTATATTGCATGATGCTGAGCTTTGGGGTATGACTGATCCCATCACTCAGGTAGTGGGCATAGTAATCAATAGTTTTTCAACTGTTGTCTTCTTCCCTCCCTACCTCTTCTAGTAGTCCCCAGGATCTATTGTTGCTATCTTTATGTTCATGAGTACCCAATGTTTAGTTCCAACTTATAAGAAAATTGGTCTTTGGTTTTCTGTTCCTATGTTAATTTGCTTAGGATAATGGCCTCCAGCTTCATCCATGTTGCTGCAAAGGACATGACTGTATTCTTTTTTATGGCTGTGTAGTATTCCATGGTGTATATGTACCACATTTTCTTTATCCAATCCACTGTTGATGGGCACCTAAGTTGATTCCATGGTCTTTGCTATTGTGAACAGTGCTGCAATGAACATAAAAGTACATGTGTCTTTTTGGTAGAGCGATTTATTTTCTTTTGGCTATATACCTGGTAATAGTTTTGCTGGGTCAAATTGTAGTTCTGTTTGAAGTTCTTTGAGCAATCTTTCCACAGTGGCTGAACTAATTTACATTCCCACCAACAGCATATAAGTTTTCCCTTTTCTCTGCAGCCTCGTTGGCATCTGTTGTTTTTGACCTTATTTTTTATTTATTATTATTTTTTTGAGACAAAGTCTCACTTTATCGCCCAGGCTGGAGTGCAGTGATGCAATCTCAGCTCACTGCAACCTCCGCCTCCTGGGTTCAAGCAATTCTCCTGCCTCAGCCTCCCAAGCAGTTGGGAGTACAGGAATGTGCTGCTGTGCCCAGATAATTTTTTACTTTTAGTAGAGATGGGGTTTTGCTATGTTGGCCAGCCTGGTCTTGAACTCCTGACCTCAGGTGATCTACTCGTCTTGGCCTCCCAATGTGCTGGGATTACAGGCATGAGCCACCGTGCCCAGCCTCTTCTTTTTTTAATAGTCATTCCGACTGGTGTGAGATGTTATCTCTTTGTGGTGTTGATTTGCATTTCTCTGATGATTAGTGATGTTGAACATTTTTTCATGTTTGTTGGCTGCTCATATGTCTTCTTTTGAGAGGTGTCTGTTCATGTCTTTTGTCCACTTTTTAAATAGGTTATTTGTTTATTGCTTGTTCATTTGTTTAAGATCCTTATAGATTCTGGATATTAGACCTTTGTCAGATACATTGTTTGCATGGGTTGTCTATTTACTCTGTTGATAGTTTTGTTTTTTTACTGTGCAGAAGCTCTTTAGTTTAATTGTGCTCGACTTGTCAATTTTTGTTTTTGTTGCAGTTGCTTTTGAGAACTTAGTCATAAATTCTTTCCCAAGGCCAATATCCAGAATGGTGTTTGCTGAGTTTTCTTTTAGTATTCTAATGCACATTTAGATGTATGGGAAAATTGGCCTAATAAATGCTATAAATGTAGATTTGAAAATCATCGGCAGATAGATGACAACCAAAAATATACAAGTTGGACTGGGTGAAATGGCTCATGCCTGTAATCCCAGTGTTTTGGGAGGCTGAGATGAGAGGACTACTTGAGGCCAGGAGTTTGAGACCAGCTTAGGCCACATAACAAGACCCCATCTCTATGAAATATTTTTAAAAATTAGCTGGGTGCGGTGGCACACACCTGTAGTCCTAACTACTTGGGAAGCGGGGGCAGGAGGAGTGGTTAAGCTCAGGAGTTTGAGGCTGCAGTGAGCTATGATTGTGCCACTGCACTCCAGCCTGGGTGACAGAGGGAGACCCTGTTGAAGAAAGAAGGAGAAGGAATAAGAAAGGAGGAGAATGAGGAAGAGGAGGAGAAGGAGGAGATGAAGAAGGAGCAGAAGGAGGAGGAGGAGATGAAGAAGGAGCAGAAGAAGCAGAAGAAGCAGGAGGAAAAGGAGGAGGTGAAGAAGGAGAAGGAGAAGAAGAATGAGGAAGAGGAGGAAAAGTAGAAGGGAAGGAGAAGGAGGAGGGGGAGGGGAAGGGAGGGAGGGGAAGGGGAGGAGAAGAAATACACTGCTTACAGAGAGTGTATTTTGAGAGGAAAAGAAAATAAAGGATAAAATGCCGATGAAAATCTCCAAGGGAGAGGCAAAGAGAGAGAAAATTGTAAAACAGATTGAGAGAAACAGTAAAAGTCAGTGATTTACAACAGCAAACATCCCACAGTTTCAATGGGTCAGGAATTCAGGAGTGGTTGGCTTGATGGTTCTGACTCAGCATCTCTTTTGAGGTTCCAATCAAGCTATCATCTACAGCTCCATCATGTGAAGCCTTAATTGTTGCTGGAAGAGTCTCACTCATATTGCTGGCAGTTGGTGGCAGCTGTTGGCTGGGGTGCCTAAATTCTCTTCCAGGTGGTCTTTATTATCCAGGACCTCTCTTCACAGGATAGCTTAGACTTCTTTTCATTATGGTTGAGAGGGTGGGAGAAGGATAAACACACATGCACCCAAGACAGAAACCACAGTTTTCTTATAATGTAATCTCAGAAGTGACATTGTATCACCTGGCTAACAAGGTGAAACCCCGTTTCTACTAAAAATACAAAAAAAATTAGCCAGGCGTGGTGGCGGATGCCTGTAGTCCCACCTACTTGGGAGGCTGAGGCAGGAGAATGACAGGAACCTGGGAGGCGGAGCTTGCAGTGAGCCAAGATCACGCCACTGCACTCCAGCCTGGGCCACAGAGCGAGACTCAGTCTCAAAAAAAAAAAAAAAAAAAAAAAGAAGTGACATTGTATCACTTCTGTTATATTTCATTCATTAAAACCAAGTCATTAATCCAGCTCACACTCAAGTGGAGGGGATTATAAAAGAGCAATGAGTAACAGGAGGTGGGAATCACTTTAGGCCATTTTAGAGGCTGCCTACAACAATATTTAAACTTTGTGAGGCTGTTTTGTCATCTATAACAAAAATGCCATAAAGACAAAATCAATGTGCAAAAAACACCAGCATTCCTATATGCCAACAATAGACAAGCAGAGAGCCAAAACATGAATGAACTCCCATTCACAATTGCTACAAAGATAATAAAATACCTAGGAATACAGCTAACAAGAGACGTGAAGGAACTCTTCAAGAACTACAAACCACTGCTCAAGGAAATAAGAGAGGACACAAACAAATCAGAAAACATCCCATTCTCATGGATAGGAAGAATCAATATAGTGAAAATGGCCATACTGCCCAAAGTAATTTATAGATTCAATGCTATTCCCATCAAACTACCACTGACTTTCTTCACAGAATTTGAAAAAACTACTTTAAAATGCATATGGAACCAAAAAAGAGCCAGTATAGCCAAGACAATCCTAAGCAAAAAGAACAAAGCTGGAGGCATCATGCTACCTGACTTCAAACTATACTACAAAGCAACAGTAACCAAAACAACTTGGTATTGGTACCAAAACAGACATACAGACCAATGAAACAGAATAGAGAGCTCAGAAATAAGACCACACGTCTACAACCACCTGATCTTCGACAAACCTGACAAAAACAAGCAATGGGGCAAAGATTCCCTATTTAATAAATGGTGCTGGGAAAACTGGCTGGCCATATGCAGAAAACTGAAACTGGACCCCTTCCTTACACCTTATACAAAAATTAATTCAAGATAGATTAAATACTTAAGTGCAAAACCCAAAACCATAAAAACCCTAGAAGAAAACCTACCCAATACCATTCAGGACATAGGCATGGGCAAAGATTTTATGATGAAATCACCAAAAGCAACTGCAACAAAAGCCATGGGATCTAATTAAACTAAAGAGCTTCTGCACAGCAAAAGAAACTATCATCAGAGTGAACAGGCAACCTACGGAATGGGAGAAAATTTTTGCAATCTATCTACCTGACAAATGGCTAATATCCAGAATTTGCAGGGAACTTAAACAAATTTACAAGAAAAAAACAACTCTATCAAAAAGTGGGCAAAGGATATGAACAGACACTTCTCAAAAGAAGACATTTACAGGGCCAATGAACATATGAAAAAGAGTTCAACATCACTGATCATTAGAGAAATGCAAATCAAAACCACAATGAGAATACCATCTCACGCCAAGTCAGAATGGTGATTATTAAGAAGTCAAGAAACAACAGATGATGGTGAGGCTGTGGAGAAATAGGAATGCTTTTACATTGTTGGTGGGAATGTAAATTAGTTCAACCATTGTGGAAGACAGTGTGGTGATTCCTCAAGGATCTAGAACCAGAAATACCATTTGACTCAGCAATTCCATTACTGGGTATATACACAAAGGAATATGTTATTCTGTTATAAAGATACATGCACACATACGTTTATTGCAGCACTATTCGCAATAGCAAAGACACGGAACCAGTCCAAATGTCCATCAATGATAGACCGGATAAAGAAAATGTGGTGGATATACACCATGTAATACAATGCAGCCATAAAAAGGAATGAGATCATGTCCTTTATAAGGACATAGATGAAACTAGAAGCCATCATCCTCAGCAAACTAACACAGGAACAGAAAACCAAATACCGCATGTTCTTATTCATAAGTGCGAGTTGAACAATGAGAACACATGGACACAGGAAGGGGAACAACACACACTGGGGCCTGTCCGGGTGGGGGGCAGCAAGGGGAGGGAGAGCATCAGGACAAATAGCTAATGCATGCGGGGCTTAAAACCTAGGTGTTGATAGGTGCAGCAAACCACCATGGCACACGTATAACTATGTAACAAACCTGCACATTCTCCACATGTATCATGGAACTTAAATAAAATTGAAAAAAAAAAAAAAGAAAGAATGAACCTCTAGGACACAGCTCACTTGGGCGGGGTGGGGGGGAATGGTGTAAAGATTAAATTATATATATAATACACACAGTGCATAGGTGCTCAATTAATGGTATAACTATTATAATAGTTATTATTCTTACCACCATAAAAAAAGTGGCCTGAGAGGTAAAGAAAAAAAATCAGATGAACGAAATATAATAGAAGAAAAGGAAAAGATAACTCAAGCAAGAAATAGTATCAAATGCTTCAAAGGGACTGAAAAGTGTAATATCCAAAGGGAATGGATGTAATGTCCATTTTATTTTATTTTATTTTATTTTTTAATTTATTTTTATTTTTTGAGATGGAGTTTCGCTCTTTCACCCAGGCTGGAGTGCAGTGGTGTGATCTCAGCTCATTGTAACCTCTGCCTTCCGGTTTCAAGTGATTCTCCTGCCTCAGCCTCCTGAGTAGCTGGGATTACAGGCATGCCCCCACATGTGGCTGATTTTTGTATTTTTAGTAGAGACAGGGTTTCACCATGTTGGCCAGGCTGCTCTTGAACTCCTGACCTTGTGATCCACCTGCCTCGAGCTTTCAAAGTGCTGAGATTACAGGCGTGAGCCACTATGCCTGGCCATAATATCCATTTTATGGAGCAGAGGGGCAAAGCCAGACTGCCCTATGTTTTTGTTTGTTTATTTGTTTTGTGACAGGGTCTCCCTCAGTCCTCCAGACTGGAGTGCATTGGTGTGATCATGGCTCATGGTAGTCTCAGCTTCCCAGGTTCAAGTGCTCCTCTTACCTCCCTAGTAGCTGGGACCACCAGTGTGCACCGCCATGCCCCGCTAATTTTTAAAAAAATTTTGTAGAGACAAGGGTCTCACTATGTTCTCCAGACAGGTCTTGAACTCCTGCACTCAAGCAATTCACCTGCCTTGGCCCCCAAAAGTGCTGGAATTACATGCATGAGCCACCATGCCCAGCCCAGATTGCCCTATGTTGAAGGATGAATGGGAAGTAAGAAAGCAAAAAGTATGAGTTTAAACCAATCTTTCAAGAAACTTGGCTCTACAAAGAAGACTTTACTTAGGGTATTTGGAAATGGGTGTGAGATCAAAAAGTTTTTTTGTTATTTGTTTACTTTTTAAAATGGGAGGGGCTTAAGCATGTTTAATTGCAAATGGGAATATATAAACTAAAACAAAAGGAATATAACTGATAAACATATAAAATATGTTTAATAAAACAAAAATGCAAAGTACAGCTGACAAAGTATTAAGAAGGCTAGAGAAGACAGGTACTCATACATGGCTGGTAGGACTATAAACTGGTACAACATTTCCGGAAAGCAATCTGACAATATGTGTCAAAAATTATAAGTGAGAGGGCCGGGCGCAGTGGCTCAAGTCTGTAATCCCAGCATTTTGGGAGGCTGTGGGCAGATCACAAGGTCAGGAGATCGAGACCATCCTGTCTAATAAGGTGAAACCCCATATCTACTAAAATACAAAAAAAAAAAAAATTAACCAGGTGTGGTGGCACATGCCTGTAGTCCCAGCTACCCGGGAGGCTGAGGCAGGAGAATTGCTTGAACCCAGGAGGCGGAGGTTGCAGTAAGCCGAGATGATGCTGTTACACTCCAGCCTGAGAGCAAGACTCCATCTCCAAATAAAAAATAAAAAAATAAATAAATAAATAAATTATAAGTGAGAAAGCTCTTTGACCCAGCAATACCATTTCTTGAAGTTTATCCTAAAGAAATAGTCACAAACATACACAAAGATATTTGTACAAGGATGCCCAATAGGGAAGTGGACAGATTAATTATGGCACGTCCTAGTCACACAATGGAAATTGTGATGTAGATCTATTTTTACGGACTTAGAAAGATATCCACTATTTAGTAAAATTTTTTAGCAGTTCCTCAAAAAGTTAAATATAGAATTACCATTCCTCAAGGATCTAGAACTAGAAATACCATTTGACCCAGCAATTCCATTACTAGGTATATACCCAAAGGATTATAAATCATGCTACTATAAAGATACGTGCACACGTATGTTTGTTGTGGCACTATTCACAATAGCAAAGACTTGGAACAAACCCAGATGTCCATCAATGACAGATGACAGACTGGATTAAGAAAATGTGGCACATATATACCATGGAATACTATGCAGCCATTAAAAAGGAGGAGTTCTTGTCCTTTGTAGGGACATGGATGAAGGTGGAAACCATCATTCTGAGCAAACTGTCACAAGGACAGAAAACCAAACACCGCACGTTCTCACTCATAGGTGGGAATTAAACAATGAGAACAGTTGGATACAGGTGTTGTTGAATTGATCCCTTTACCATTATGTAATGGCCTTCTTTGTCTGTTTTGATCTTTGTTGGTTTAAAGTCTGTTTTATCAGAGACTAGGATTGCAACCCCTGCCTTTTTTTGTTTTCCATTGGCTTGGTAGATCTTCCTCCATCCCTTTATTTTGAGCCTATGTGTGTCTCTGCACGTCAGATGGGTTTCCTGAATACAGCACATTAATGGATCTTGACTCTTTATCCAATTTGCCAGTCTGTGTCTTTTAATTGGAGTATTTAGGCCATTTACATTTAAGGTTAATATTGTCATGTGTGAAGTTGATCCTGTCATTATGATGTTAGCTGGTTATTTTGCTCGTTAGTTGATGCCGTTTCTTCCTAGCCTCGATGGTCTTTACAATTTGGCATGTTTTTGCAATGGCTGGTACTGGTTGTTCCTTTCCATGTTTAGTGCTTCCTTCAGGAGCTCTTATAGGGCAGGCCTGGTGGTGACAAAATCTCTTAGCATTTGCTTGTCTGTAAAGGATTTTATTTCTCCTTCACTTATGAAGCTTAGTTTGGCTGGATATGAAATTCTGGGTTGAAAATTCTTTTCTTTAAGAATGTTGAATATTGGCCCCCACTCTCTTCTGGCTTGTAGAGTGATCAAGTGGGCTTCATCCCTGGGATGCAAGGCTGGTTCAACATATGCAAATCAATAAACATAATCCAGCATATAAACAGAACCAACGACAAAAAACACATGATTATTTCAGTAGACGCAGAAAAGGCCTTTGACAAAATTCAACAGCCCTTCATGCTAAAAACTCTCAATAAATTAGGTATTGATGGGACGTATCTCAAACTAATAAGAGCTATCTATGACAAACCCACAGCCAATATCATACTGAATGGGCAAAAACTGGAAGCATTCCCTTTGAAAACTGGCACAAGACAGGGATGCCCTCTCTCACCGTTCCTATTCAACATAGTGTTGGAAGTTCTGGCCAGGGCAGTCAGGCAGGAGAAGGAAATAAAGGGTATTCAATTAGGAAAAGAGGAAGTCAAATTGTCCCTGTTTGCAGATGACATGATTGTATGTCTAGAAAACCCCATCGTCTCAGCCCAAAATCTCCTTAAGCTGATAGGCAACTTCAGCAAAGTCTCAGGATACAAAATCAATGTGCAAAACCCACAAGCATTCTTATACACCAATAACAGACAGAGAGCCAAATCATAAGTGAACTCCCATTCACAATTGCTTCAAAGAGAATAAAATACCTAGGAATCCAACTTACAAGGGACGTGAAGGACCTCTTCAAGGAGAACTACAAACCACTGCTCAAGGAAATAAAAGAGGATACAAACAAATGGAAGAACATTCCATGCTCATGGGTAGGAATAATCAATATCGTGAAAATGGCCATACTGCCCAAGGTAATTTATAGATTCAATGCCATCCCCATCAAGCTACCAATGACTTTCTTCACAGAATTGGAAAAAACTACTTTAAAGTTCATATGGAACCAAAAAAGAGCCCACATTGCCAAGTCAATCCTAAGCCAAAAGAACACAGGTGGAGGCATCACGCTACCTGACTTCAAACTATACTACATGGCTACAGTAACCAAAACAGCATGGTACTGGTACCAAAACAGAGATATAGACCAATGGAACAGAACAGAGCCTTCAGAAATAATGCCACATATCTACAACTATCTGATCTTTGACAAACCTGACAAAAAGAAATGGGGAAAGGATTCCCTATTTAATAAATGGTGCTGGGAAAACTGGCTAGCCACATGTAGAAAGCTGAAACTGGATCCCTTCCTTACACCTTATACAAAAATTAATTCAAGCTGGATTAAAGACTTACATGTTAGACCTAAAACCATAAAAACTCTAGAAGAAAGCCTAGGCAATACCATTCAGGACATAGGCATGGGCAAGGACTTCATGTCTAAAACACCAAAAGCAATGGCAACAAAAGTCAAAATTGATAAATGGGATCTAATTAAAGAGCTTCTGCACAGCAAAAGAAACTACCATCAGAGTGAACAGGCAACCTACAGAATGGAAGAAAATTTTTGCATTCTACTCATCTGACAAAGGGCTAATATCCAGAATCTACAAAGAATACAAACAAATTTACAAGAAAAAAACAAACAACCCCATCAACAAGTGGGCGAAGGATATGAACAGACACTTCTCAAAAGAAGATATTTATTCAACCAAAAGACACATGAAAAAATTCTCATCATCACTGGCCATCAGAGAAATGCAAATCAAAACCACAATGAGATACCATCTCACACCAGTTAGAATGGCGATCATTGAAAAGTCAGGAAGCAACAGGTGCTGGAGAGGATGTGGAGAAATAGGAACACTTTTACGCTGTTGGTGGGACTGTAAACTAGTTCAACCACTGTGGAAGTCAGTGTGGCGATTCTTCAGGGATCTAGAAGTAGAAATACCATTTGACCCAGCCATCCCATTACTGGGTATATACCCAAAGGATTATAAAGCATGCTGTTATAAAGACACATGCACACGTATGTTTATTGCGACACTATTTACAATAGCAAAGACTTGGAACCAACCCAAATGTCCATCAATGAGAGACTGGATTAAGAAAATGTGGCACATATACACCATGGAATACTATGCAGCCATAAAAAAGGATGAGTTCATGTCCTTTGTAGGAACACGGATGAAGCTGGAAACCATCATTCTCAGCAAACTATCGCAAGGACAAAAAACCAAACACCGCATGTTCTCACTCATAGGTGGGAATTGAACAATGAGAACACATGGACACAGGAAGGGAATCATCACACACCGGGGCCTGTTGTGGGGTGAGGGGAGCGGGGAGGGATAGCATTAGGAGATATACCTAATGTTAAATGACGAGTTAATGGGTGCAGCACACCAACATGGCACATGTATACATATGTAACAAATCTGCAGGTTGTGCACATATACCCTAAAAATTAAAGTATAATAAAAAAATAAAAATATCTGCTTTAAGGACTAATTACAGAGCTCTTTAAAAATAGTATACTTCCCTAGAACGTATATTGTATGATCTTTAAAATTTAGACTTCCAGCCATACCAGAGAACTTGACTTGCCTTCCCACTGTAAATTACTAGTAAACTAGATACAGTGTATGAAACAACAGTTTTTAGACAATGAACTACAAACAGGGAAAATTGCGTTCTCTGAGAGAAAGAGGAAAAAGTGAGATGAACCCTATGATTACTCAGGCTTACTGCCTAGACACTTGCTACACCATAGCACAAGGAAGGGGCACTCTTGCAAAAAAGATGGTCTGAGTTGGGAAGACAAACATCGGAATTTAGAGAGGCTAAACTGGCTGTAATTTGTGAGGCAATGTACTGAAGATGAAGGCGCTACCCAGAAAAAGAGCTCCAGGCATCTGCTATTTAATCTGTTGCTGGATATTAAGTTGGACATGTGAGTAGTAAAAGTCCATGAAGACTTGCAGGGGCGCCACAAGCTGAGCAATTTCCAGAGCTCCCACAGGTCTAGGTAAACTCTGAGTTCCAACAAGCCAGAGAGGAATGAACTTACTGAATAACTGGGACATTTTGTAGAGACCCCAGCAGGATCATGCCATTCTAGGGCTATTCTAGATGCTTCCATAAGTTTAAAAATAAACCTCAAAATGATGAAGCTTATCAGCAAGTAACTTAACCTCCTGTGAAACTTTGACATTCTTGAAATAAAGATAGCAAAATCTAGCAATCAGCAATGTAAAATTCAAAATGTTCTAACACAATAAAAATTTACTGGACAGGGAGAGAAGCAGGAAAATGTTACCTGTTATGTCACTATTTATAATGTAATCAAAACAAATACAGAAATGACAGAGGTAATAGAATTAGCAAAGGAACTTTAAAACAGCTATTACAAATGTTCAAGGATTTAAAGGACAATGATACGAACATAATGAAGAGAAAAATTTTAAATCCCAAAAGAAAAAAACGAACCAAATGGAAATTTTAGAGATGAAATTTACAGTAAATAAAATTAAAAACTCACTGAATAGGCTTAATAGCAGATTAGACATTTAAAAAAGAAATACAAATGAACTTCAGGACATAACAACAGAAACAATCCCAACTGAAGCAGAGAGGGAAAAAAAGACTGAAAAAATATGCAGTAGATCCTCAGTAACCTGTGGGACAATATTAAGCAGTCTAACGTGTGTAACTGAAGTCCCAGAAAGTAGAGGGGGACAGAAAAAAAAATTGAAGAAATGACCAAAACTTCTCCAAATTTAATGAAAACTATATATAGCCAAGAAATTCAATAAATTCCAAGCAAGATATGCACCAAGAAAACCATACCAAGGTACATCATAATCAAACTGCTTGAAAACAGACATGAAGGAAAAATCTTAAAAGCTGTCAGAGATATAAAGACACTTTTTTTTTTTTTTGAGGCGGAGTTTGCCCAGGCTGGAGTGGCGCGATCTCGGCTCACCACAAACTCCACCTCCCGGGTTCAAGCGTTCTCCTGCCTCAGCCTATTGAGTAGCTGGGATTACAGGCATGCGCCACCACGCCCGGCGAATTTTTGTATTTTTAGTAGAGACGGGGTTTCACCGTGTTAGCCAGGATGGTCTCGATCTCCTGACCTCATGATCTGCCCGCCTTGGCCTCCCAAAGTGCTGGTACAGGCGTAAGCCTCCGTGCCCAGCCGATATAAAGACACTTATAAAGATGGGTTATAAATATAAGAATTGTCATAGACCTCTTGCCAGAAGCAATGCAAGCCAAAAAAAAAAAAAAATGGAATGGCATCTTAAAATTAATGAAAGAAAAATTATCTAGAATTTTATATCCAGTGAAAATATTCTTTAAAATTAAGGAGAAATAAACCACCTTTTCAGACAAACAAAAGCTGGAAAGAATTCCAGCAGATATGCAAAAAAAAAAAAACAAAAAAAAAACGTTAAAAGGAAGTTCTTCAGGTTGAAGAAATATACCAGGTGGACATGTGGATCTAAACAAAGGAATAAAGAGTGACAGAAGTGGTAAATGTGGTGGTGAATAGAAAAGATACTTTATCTCATTTTTAATTTTCTTTGTCAGATAATTCTCTGAAATAAATAATATATGGTAGGTTTTATAACATATAGAAGTAAAATGTATGATAACAACAACACAAAGGACAGGAAGGAGAAAATGATAATGTAGTATTGCAAGTTTCTTATAAACTTTGGTATAATATTATTGGAAAGTATACACGATAAATTAAACTCTAGAATAAGGATTGGCAAACTACAGTCAAATGGCCAAATGCAGCCTGCTGCCTGTTTTTTTGTTTGTTTGTTTTGTTTTGTTTTGTTTTGCGGGGAAGGGAGAGGGAGATGGAGTCTCGCTCTGTTGCCCAGGCTGGAGTGCAGTGGTGGATCTCAGCTCACTGCAACCTCCACCTCCTGGGTTCAAGTGATTCTCCTGCCTCAGCCTCCCAAGTAGCTGAGATCACAGGCGCACGTCACCACATCTGCCTAAGTTTTGCATTTTGGTAGAGATGGGGTTTCACCATGTTGGTCAGGCTGGTCTCGAACTCCTCACCTCAAGTGATCCACTTGGCTCAACCTCCCAAAGTGCTGGGATTACAGGCATCAGCCACTGCACCCAGCTGTTTTTGTAAATATAATTTTACTGGTACATAACCATGCCCACTTCTGAATGTACTTAATGCCACTGAACTATACACATAAAAATGGTTAAAATAGCAAACAATATGTACATTTTACTACAGTAACAAAATACAATCAACAGTTCTCAAAAAAAAGAGAACATTAAAGATTTCCTCATGTTATAATTCAACATAAGAAAAGGAAATATGACTACTCCCATAAAAAAGTAACAAGATGAAAAAGATATATAATACAAATGTTAATCAAAAGATGAAATAGCTATATTATTATCAGACAAAACACACCTTAAGACAAGAGATATTACTAGGATAAATATGGATATTTCATAATGATAAAAAGGTCAATCAGGAAATCAGAACAATAAATGTGTCATAACAATCATAAATCATATAGCTAATAACAGGACTTACAAACACATGAAGCAAAACCTGACTGAACTGAAAAGAGGAAGATAAGTTCACAGTTATGATTAAAGATTTCAACATTCTTCTCCCACTAATTGATAGAACACAGACACAGATACACACACAATCTGTAAGGATAGAGAAGACTTGGACAATACCAACCAACTTTATCTAATTGCCATTTATAAAACATTCCACCAACCAACAGCAGAACACACATTCTCTTCAACAGCACATGAAATATTCACCAAGATAGATAATACACTTGGCCAAAAAATAGGTCTTAGTACATTTAAAAGGATTAAAGTCTTACCTAGAATGTTCCCTGACCAAAACCAAATTAAATTCGAAATCATTAATAGGAAGATATTTGGAATTTTCTCAAATGTTTGGAAATTAAACAACATATTTCCAATGGGTGATACTCAATACCCATGGGTCAGAGGAGACACCACAAGAAAAATCCTAAAATATTTTGAGCCTGGGCAACATGGTGAAACCTCATCAGGAAAGGAAGGAAAGGAAGGAAAGGAAGGAAAGGAAGGGAAGGGAAGGGAAGGGACGGGAAAGGAAAGGAAAGGAAAGGAAGGAAAGGAAGGAAGGAAAGGAAGAAAAGGAAGAAAGGAAGCAGCAAGCTAGCTGGTGTGGTGGTGTGCACCCATAGTCAGGCTGAGGTGGGAGGATTGCTTGAGCCTGGCAGATTGAGGCTGCAGTGAGGTGTGATCACACCACTCACTACACTCCAGCCTGGGTGACAGAGCAAGACCCTGTCTCTCTTTCAATAGACATATAGGCAGGCAGGCAGGCAGATAGACAGACAGACACAGAGATATATACATGGGATTTTGCTATGTTGTCCATGCTCAAAAATTTTAAGATTTCTCTTGTGAGGTTCTCTCTGACCCATGGATATGGGTATGAGTATGACCCACTGGAAATATGTTGTTAAATTTCCAAACATTTGAGAATTTTCCAAATATATTTCTGTTAGTGACTTCAAATTTAATTTAGGTGTGGTCAGGGAACATTCTAGGTAAGACTTTAACCCTTTTAAATGTACTAAGACTTATTTTTTGTGTATATTGCCTATCTTGGTGAATATTTCATGTGCTGCTGAAGAGAATGTGTGTTCTGCTGTTGGTTGGTGGAAGGTTTATTTTTGTTGTTTGTTTTCTTTGAGACGGAGTCTCACTCTGTAGCCCAAGCTGGGGTGCAGTGGTGCCATCTTGCCTCACTGCAACCTCTGCCTCCAAGGCTCAAGCAATTCTCGTGACTCGGCCTCTCAAGTAGCTGGAACTACAGGCGCGTGCCACCATGCCCGGATAATTTTTCCTATTTTAATAGAGGCGGGCTTTTGCCATGTTGCCCAGGGTGGTCTTGAACTCCTGAGCTCAGGTGATCCACTCGCCTCAGCCTCCCAAAGTGCTGGGATTACAGGTGTGAGCCACCGTGCCCGGCCGGTTGGTGGAATGTTTTATAAATGTCAATTAGGCCAAGTTAGTTGGTATTGTCCAAGTCTTCTGTATCCTTACAGATTGTGTGTGTGTGTGTGTATGTGTGTATAATTGTTCTATCAATTAGTGGGAGAAGAATGTTAAAATCTTTCATTATAACTGTGAATTTATCTTTCTCTTTTCAGTTCTGTCAGTTTTTGCTTCATGTTTATATGTGTGTGTGTATGTTGTGTATACTTTACTAAAATATATATATATAGTTTTTTTAACCGAATGAAAATGAAAAAACTACATATCATAGTTTGTGGGATGGAACCAAAGCAGTGCTAAGAGGAAATGTTATAGCTTTAAGTGCTTATATTAGAAAAGAAGAAAGGTAAATAATCTATGTTTCAAGCTTAAGCAGCTAGAAGAAAACCAAATTAAACCCAAAGTAAGCAGAGTAAAGGAAATAAGAAAATTAATAGCAAAAATCCATGAAATAGCAAATAAATAAACATGGGAGAGAAATGAATGAAATCAAAACCTGTTTTTTGTTTGTTATTTTTTCCTGAGACGGAGTCTCACTCTGTTGCCAGGCTGGAGTGCAGTGGCACGATCTCGGCTCACTGCAATCTCTGCCTCCCAGGTTCAAGGGATTCCCCTGCCTCAGCCTCCCGAGTAAGCCACTGCACCTGGCCCAAAACCTGGTTCTTTGAAAAGATCAATAAAACTGAAAACTTCTAACTCAAATGATCAAGACAAACAGAGAGCGAGAGAGAGAAGATACAAATTACAAATATCAAGAATGACAGAGGGGCATCAATTTGATCCTAGAGGACTATAATAATAAGAGAATATTATGAGCAACCCTAGCCAATAAATTTGACAACTTATGAAAAGGACAAGTTCTTTGAAAGATAAAAATTACCCCAACTGGCTCTTTTGGGGTCCCACAACACCCCAAATCAGATTCATTAGGAGGACTCATAGGACTCAATATATACCCATACACATGACTAAGATGTATTATAGAGAAATAATACGAAGAAAAATAGGTAAAGGAAAAGGCACATGAGTTGCAGTCTGGAGTAAACCAGACTTCCAAAGGTCATCTTCTAATAGAGTCACATAAGACAAGCTTAACTCCTACAGCATTGAATTGTGACAACTTATGTGAATTGCTGTCTACCAGGGAAGCTCATTAGAGACTCAGCACCCAAAGTTTTTTGGGGGAGGGTGCTGTTCATGCAGGTACCCTCTATGTAGCATGTGCCAAAATTCTAGAATCCCAGAAAGAAAGCAGTTGTTCAGAATAAACCACATTGTTTGTACTAATAGTTTAGGTACAGTGAGCCACTCTTGTTAGGAAATGGTGAGAATCCTCCCAAAATTCAAGTTTCCAGGCATCAGCCAGGGGCCAACTTTGCTAGGAGGTCTTTCTAAGTACAGCATTCACAGGGGTGCTATGTTAACTCTTTCCTGCACACCAACATAAGAAGAAATGAGAATCTGAATAGCCCTGTAAATAATTTAAATACTGAATTTGTTATTTAAAATATTCCCACCAAGAAAGTCTACATAGCTCCACTGGTGAATTAGACCTAACATTCAATAAAGAAATCATACCAACTCTATACATTGAAAGGAATATATTCCAACTGAGTTTACTTGACCAGTATTACTCTTGACGCAAAAACCAGTTCAAATATTGCAAAGAAAAAACAAACAAAACTTACATTCCTCATCAATACAAAATCCTTAACAAAGCACTAGCAATTTAAGTCCAGCCATATATAAAAAGGATAATATATAATGATCAACTCAAGTTTATCCCAGGAATGCAGGTTAACATCTGGAAGTCAACTGATGTAATTAATATGAAAAGAATAAAAAAAACCCAATCATCTTAATAGACACAGAAAAAAGCATTTGACAAAATTTAATGTCCTTTCATGATAAAAACTCATTTGTGATAAAAGCTCAGCAAACCAGATATGAAAGGAAACGTTCTCAAACTGATAAAGAGTATAAACAAAAACATATAGCTAAAATGATAAGAAATGGTGAAAGACTAGTCTCCATTTAAGATGAGAAACAAGGCAAGCATGCCCACTCTCACAATTGTTATTCAACATTAGATTAGAGGGTCCTAGCTAGTGCATAAATTGAGAAAAAGAAAAAGCATACAGCATTTTAGAAAGAAAGTAAAACTGTCTTAAACTTGCAGACAACATGATCATATATTATAGAAACCCCCAAAGTTCAACGAAAACAACTATTATAACAATAACTTAATTTAAAAATGAGGTCAATATACAAAAACCAATTGTACTTCTAAGCTGGGCATGGCAGTTCATCCCTGTAATCCCAGCTACTCAGAAGCCTGAAGTGGGAGCATCACTTGAGCCCAGGAGTTCATGTACAGCCTGGACAACATAGTAAGACCTTGTCTTGAAAAAAATGTACTTCTATATATAAGCAAAGAACAATTATAAAAATTGTAAGCACTGTTTACATTAGGATCCCAAGACATAAAATATCCAGGAATAAATTTAACCTAAAATTTCCAAGACCTATATGATAAAAACTACAAAACATTTCTGAGAGACATTTTAAAATATCCAAATAAATGGAAGCTATACCATGTTCATCGACTGGAAGACTCAATGCCAAATAAAACCCACAGACTTTTAAAACAGAAATTGAGACATTGATTCTAAAAGTGATAAGAAAATATAGGACTTAGAATAGAAAAAGCTTTTTTGGAAAAAGAACAATATTGAAGGACTTAGCTACGTTTTATAGCTTCTTTAAAAGCTACATTAATAAAGACAGTGTTGTACTGGCTTAAGTATAGACATATAATCAATGGATCATAATAAAGAGTCCAGAAATAGACCCATATATATTTGATCAACTGATTTTCAAAGAAAGTACTAAGGTACAGTGGGAGAGAAAATAGTGTTTTCGACAAATATTTGTGCTGGGACAATTGGAAATTCATATAAAAAAATGACCTTCAATTCTTATGTCATACTGTATACAAAAATTAACTAAAAATGTATTAGAGACCATATGCATATACTCATTTTTTTAAAGTTGAGAAACTTAAAGTATAAAACAGGGAAAAAAATCATAGTGACAGTCTTAATTTCTTTGATAGTTTGTACCCCACAACATACTTAAATTTTACCTGAAACTTTTTGTCTTCCTCAAATGTTTTTTGATTGCATAATTTGTTATAATGTTCTTGTA